>NC_000003.12:165372240-165523755 GCF_000001405.40 Homo sapiens
ATTTAACTAGGTGTTTATTTCATTTCTCCTGTTGGGTCTCAAAGCATAATTATCTTCTCATCCTTGTATTATTACCCATCCTCCTCCTCCTCCAGTCTTTCTCATATTAATTAGCAGTGTCACATTCACTCTGTTGTTTAATCTCACCTAGGAATTATCATTTATTCTCTTCCTCGCGGCACCCACATTCTATCCATCAGCAAATACTGTTATTTCTTTTCAAAATACTTCTTATTTGCTTTGCTACTACTCATGCCCAAGAAATCTTCCCTCATCTGGGAAAATTCAATAGTCTATTTAATGGTTTGTCTGTTTCTACTTTATTCCCCCTAATTAGACATTCTTCACACAGCTGCCAATGTGATCTTTTAAAATTCATGTCATTCCTCTGCTCAAAACCCTCCAATGGCTTCTCATTGCACTTCGAATAAAATCAAAGCTCCACACCAGTCTACCCATGATGTAGTCACTGCCTCACTCTCCACTGCCTATCTCTTTTTCCTCACTGATTTTATTCTAACCACACTTGATGCTCTACATTCCTGGAAAACACTAAACTTATTTCCATCCTTAGAATTTTGAGCCTGCTTTCTTCTTTTCTTGGCACTCTCTGCACTCTGATCTTCACATGGCTGGCTTTCTTTTTTCACTGAGGTCTCAGCCCAAGTGACATCTCAGAGAGAATTACCCTGAGATCTAAATAATTACCTCAGTTCTCTCTATTTTATCTACTGTATTATATGGTGTTTGGGGCATAGTACTCATCTCTACTTGAATTTATTTTACTTGTATATTATTTTTATTTCCTCTAGCTATATACTGTATTAAGAGCAGTGACTTTTTCTACTCTTTTTATCACTCTATTCCCACTCCCTGGAAGAATAATAGGAACATAGTAGGTATTTCTTTTGGAATGGGAGGATAACGAGACAGAGAGACAAAGAGAGAGAGAGAAAGAGAGATTATGTACAATATAATATTGAAGCGATTTACATGTAATCCACATTCCTCCTAAACTGGGTTTGGATAAATGCTAATCTATAGGATTCTTGGACAAGAAAAGATTATTTGGCAAACGAGTTTGGAAGATTATATTAGAGATTTATTAAGTTCATTAGCCTGAAAAATATTCTTTAAGGTTTTGCAGTAAAGATCACAATTTAATGATATTTAATCAAATGATTCATAAAGTTATTTGGTCCTTGAAAATTTTTCTGCCTTTCAACGTATATTAAAACATTCAGAAATGCTGTTCTAAATTCACTCAGTATCCAAAGTAGAAGAGAATTAATGTAACAAGAGGAAAACATATATCATAATTTTCTTTTAGAGTTGTTTAAAATAAAGCCCAC
Organism: Homo sapiens; assembly: GCF_000001405.40. Lineage (NCBI taxonomy): Eukaryota > Metazoa > Chordata > Mammalia > Primates > Hominidae > Homo > Homo sapiens. The sequence goes on from NC_000003.12 coordinate 165,373,593, forward strand.
CCAAAATAAGACACATATATATGTTTTTGAGAATTCTGGGTAAATTAGAAATAACTATATTGACACAAAGTTAAGCTAAAGAGAAAATTTGGTATACGGCAGATAAGTAACCAAGGCCAACAATCCATAAAACAATAATAGCAAAAAGAAAAAAGACAAAATTGATACTTTCGAGTAGCTCCTGATGGAGAAGAGTAATATTGAGGAAATATTAATAGAAAATAATACAGTCAGAAAAAGTGATAATAATTATAAAACTCATTTGTTAGAAAGTCTATAAAAGACTGGGGATAACATCAACATGAATATTCTGGTTATAGTATAGGAAAGTGACATAAAATCAGAAGTTTCAAGTTAAATTAAGGGAGAGATGAGGGAGATTAAATGCAGAGTAATAAATCCATGAAATTTATATTTAACACAATGTGAAGGAATAGACTTTAAAAGCTGCTTTTTAAAAAACCTAATTTTCAGATACATAAAATTTTAGCAATATGGCTGTAGTGCTTTGAACTTTTATCATTTGACTATACTTTGCTTTAAAGTTTACATCAAGAGCAAATATGTATATTTGAAAAGTTTACAATAGCTAGAAAATGTATTATAATTCCCAAATGGAAAAAAATGTATACTTGGATTCCCACATTTCTATATACCTATCCACAGGATCACTGTTGTATTTTTAAACCTTATTCCTGGAAGCACTACGGATATCAGATCAATTTAGAAAGCCAAAGAGTACCTCTGGGAATGAAATGGTAGTAATAGAAACAATATTTGGCCAAACTATCGCTGTATGCCAATGATGCCAAAAATCACAGTAACCTGGCAGGTAGGTAATTATTATTTAATAATACAATTGATACTGGTTTCTCCACTGAAAAACTATTAACTCTTTATGCAGTAAAATGAAGTCCAGGTTTTAGACACAGTATTTCTATTTTGATGTCATTAATAGTGGGTTGACACTTGTACCAACCACAATGTGTTTCTCAAGCAAATTATTTGAAAGAAAACTTATATGTGATTTTATAACTCATTTAGAAATGAAAATGGGGAATATGAATTTAAGGAATAGTTTTGGCTGCAAGTTCTTAATATTAAGGACAATTTTCATATTCTGGACTATTTTATATATCTCTTTCTTTCTAGTAGAAGCAGACTGGCCTGATTTTAGCGTTTACTGGAGAACATTTCCATTTTAAATGTTCATTCTGCAAGACAACTAATAAGATAATTACTGTTTTAAATAATTTCCTCCATATGTTCACAATTCCTGGATCTCTGCTCTCTCTGTTTAAATGCTGGTCTCATGGTTAATGTTGCTGTTCAAAAAAAAACTTTGCTTTCATATTTCTTAGAATCTCAAATTGTTCAAATTTGCCGAAGTGCCTGGAAATGCAGCATGTGTTTCTAAATCTGGAAGAGTTGGTAATACGTATAATCTCCTTCTCTGGATGTATATTGTCCTCTTAATTAATAGTGCTCAATAGACTACGTTATATTTTAGAGTGAGAAAATCTGCTATTTGAAGGTGCTGGAATTTTTTTCTTTTCTTTTCTTTTCTTATTTATTTATTTATTTATTTTGAGATGAAGTCTCACTCTGTTGCCCAGGTTGGAGTGCAGTGGTATGATCTCAGCTCACTGCAACCTCCTCCTCCCAGGTTAAGTGATTCTCCTGCCTCAGCCTCCCAAGTAGCTGGGATTACAGGCTCACACCACCACGCCTGGCTAATTCTTGTATTTTTAGTAGAGACAGGGTTGGCCAGGCTGGTATCAAACTCAGCCTGACCTCAGGTAATCCACCCACCTCAGCCTCCTAAAGTGCTGGGATTACAGGCATGAGCTACCGCACCTGGCCAAAATTTTTCTATTTTATCATTAAAAAACGAGTTTGTATGCAAGATATTACTTGAAAATCATAAACAAATTATCCTGAAAAAGGTACCTTATCAGTCTACTAAATTCAGTTTTGTAAGGTTCAATGTAATCAAATAGACTCATGAATTATATTCATACATAATGAAAACAACATTAAATTTGACTTGTTTGTGTCCATCTTCATCCATGTAGAATGCATGTGGTCAAGTCACTGCTCTTAAATTTAGTTCTTTGATCAATAATGTGAGCCTAATAACACGTATCTATGAAATCATATTGTTTATCAAAAAACAATTACTTCTGTCACCATCATTGTCATTTTCACCAATATCAATTTTCATTTTTATGATCATCAAATTTAATGCAGCCATGGATGAGTCCAAAACTCCCACACTCACAGACATACAGACACAATTGAACCTACTATTTATGAGATTAGAAGGTAGAATTAAGAATTAATATGCTACCAATTAGCAAATATAATTAAGACTGTTTTAAATCTATACTTGTACCTGCCATAATTGTAAAATAGTTTTCTTGGACAAACAGAAGAAGATACAGAAAGTATAGGTTTGGAAAATGTACATGTTTAATTCAAGAAAAATAATTTGTTATGTAATTTATTGGATGCTTACAGTCTATTTCATGGACAATTGGAAATGAGAGAAAAGGTTTTTGGCAATTACAAGTAAATTCATGCTTTATATTAAAATTTAATCCCCCAAATTAGGTTTTAGGTAATATAGTTATATCAGTTATAGAAACTGACAAAAAAATTAAATTTGCTAGTTATTATAACAACACTAATACAAAGTAAATTGCAATTTAAATATACAAAATATTTTTGATATACAGTAAAGTTTATGCCATTTGTGATGACAATCCAATATAAAACTAGATTATTAAATAATCCGGAGATTTTCTAACTAAATACACCAGATGCAGGTGTTCTTGTCAGATTCAATGATCAACATTGTTGAGGGCAAACTTCCAAATCTAGGAGGCAGAACAAAAGAAAAAAAAAAACACATCTGGCAAAAAAAAAAAAAAAGTGTGTGAATTCTTTATCATTATCAGTTCAGTTTTTTGCATTTTTTAATTTTATGTAAATTTTGCATTGGTTTTGTGTGTGTTTATACATCCACAAGAAACACATAACATGCTGAAATACAGATAAATTTGAACAGTCAGTGTATATGTCATTCATTCTTCCTTCCAACTACTGAGGAAACAAAGACTTTTTTTTCTGAGTGTCTATTTGGAATAGGCATTTGTCCATTTTCAGTGGATAAAACTAAAAGTCAGCATTCAATGTCTCAAAGTCCAGAAGGCAAGGCAGACTTAAAATAATACTTAAAATCTAGTGTAATAAGAGTGACTACTACTACTACACACACATATAATTACACATACATACACTATATATAGTGTGGGACAAAGAGAATTATAATTTCAGCTTTGCAATATGGACAAGGAAGTCTTCACAGAGAAAACAATATCACTTGAACTAACTAATATCACTTGAAATCTAACAGGAGAATTTCCAAGTACTTTAGGCAAGTGTTTACTCTGGGGAGGAGAAAAATCATGTGCAAAGGCAAAGAGGAGGAACATATGACCAGAGATGAATGAAGAAGAACAAGATAAATGGTTGAAGACAAAAGCAAAAGCAAAGATTAAATCATAAAATATTTTACAATTTTATGTAATGTGTTTGATATTTAGACTATGGTTATAAAACACCCCTGATTGAGGAAATCGATACCTTTGGATAACAAAATCTGATTTTCCTTTTTGAAAATGTGTATGATAGCAGTAGGACTAATGAATTGAGTGTTCGTAGAGAAGAGACAGGGATTGAACTAGGAGGTTACCACAGATTTTTACAAGATATGATGAAGGCCTACACTAAACCAGTGAAGAAAAGATGAAGAACAAACTATTTTGAAAAAATTGGTGGGCTATAGTCAGCAACTGTATGTGAAGTCAGGACAGGTAAGAAGGAAGATCCCCAGATGGTCCTATGAGTTCAGGTTTGGATAGGAAGATAGTATCATTTTTTAGTCCAAATCAGAAAACTTATAAAGGTGAAAGTAGATTATAAAATAATCAAACTTTGTAATGTTGACATTTATCTATTAATGATTTTGTTGATTTTTATGCTGTTGAACATATAAAAAATCTTTTATTCAAAAACTATTTTTTAAAATTTTGTACAAATAAAATTATGTATACTAATAAAAACGTATACCTGTGTATATCAAAGCAAAGCAAAATGTTAAAAATTACTTTAAAATTTAGGTGGAAAGATTATATTTGACTCATATTCACATGCTTTTGGCAATTTCTTAGCCATATCTGTCTCTAAAATCAAGTCACTAAAGAATGTATGTTCAGATGCTCCTCGTAATTTCCTACATAGTTGCACTTTAAGGCTAATAAATTTGAAATGGTTTATTGATGCTATTGTTTCTATTGTTACGGTTCTGCAGGCCAAAAATATATATTTTTAATTGAGAAAATTCTTCTATATTTTTCCTAAGGTTTCAGTAAGCTCAGGGTTAATTCTACCAAATTAATTATATTCTTCATTCTATCTTTTTATTGAAACATTTAAAAATTTCAGTCTACATATTTTAACTGGCACTGCCATTTTGCTTTTATTCAGAATAACTTTCTTCAATAAATATTTTTATGTAACAACACCCATCAAATAAGGTGATCCTATGGTTCTTTTATAAGTCTTGCCAAATTTAGATGCTACAAAAAGCAAAGGGCTCAATTTCATTCCATTTGGGTAAATAATATTAATTTATTCAATTTCTTAAAAAAGCACCTTCAGAACTTTCTCTCAGAAGAGAGGTTGTTCTGTAGATCAAGTGTAGATTTTGAAAAGTAAATTATGGGCCAGCACAGTGTCTCACACTTGTAATCCCAATGCTTTGGGAGGCTGAGTAGGGAGGACTGCTTGAAGCCAGGAGTTCCTGACTAGCGGGGCAACATAGTGAGACCCTGTCTCTCCAACAACAACAAACAACCACAAATTAGCTGGGCATGGCGGCACATGCCTATGAATCCTTGCTACTACAGAGGCTGAGTGGGGAGGGTGGGAGAATCACCTGAGCTTAGGAGTTTGAGGTTACAGTGAGATATGATTGTACCCCTACACTGTAGCCTGGGTGACAGAGCAAGACCCTGGCTCTAAAAAATAAATGAGTAAATAAATATGTAAATAAATTGTGTACACTGAACTCTCATCATCAAATTTTCTAATTTTGTTTGTTTGTTTCTGTGGACGTTTTAGTCAATTCTGCAGATGTCTGCTATCACAAAAAATGGACAGTGGGTTAAAAACAATAGAAATGTATAAATGCATTTTTCACAGTTCTGGAGGCTGGGAGTTTGAGATCAGAGTGCCAGCATATTTGGGCTCTGATGAGGTTACAGACTGTCAACTCATTGAATCCTCACGTGACAAAGAATGCTAGAGAGCTCTCTGAAGTTTATTTTATAAGAACACTAACTCTATTCATGAGGACTTCACCCTCATGACCTAAACACTTCCCAAAGGCCTATATCTTTTAATAGCATTGCATTGGGGGTTAGGTTTTCAACCTATAAATTCTGGGGGAATGTAAGCATTCAGTTCATAACAATAGAGAAAAGTGCTATTCTTTTTTTTTTTTTCCATTTAACTTCCTCAGAATTTATTCTGTGTATTCCATACCTTTCCAATTAATATAAAACATGAATGCCATTTTTTTAACCTTTATTTTAAGTTCAGGGGTAGATGGACAGGTTTGTTACATAGGTAAGATTGTGTCGTGGAGGATTGTTGTAAACAGATTATTTGATTACCCATGTATTAAGGATAGTACCCATTAGTAATTTTTCCTTATCCTCTCCTTCCTTTCTCTCTCTACCCTCAAAATGCAAATCAAAGCAACAATGAGATACCATCTCACACCAGTCAGAATGGCTATTATTAAAAAGTCAAAAAGTTGCAAATGCTGGTGAGGTTGTGAAAAAAAAGGAACTCTTTTACACAGTTGGTGGCAGTGTACATTAGTTCAACCATTGTGGCAGACAGTGTAGCAATTCCTCAAAGACCTAAAAACAGAAATACCATTTGACCCAACAATCCCACTACTGAGTATATACTCATAGAAATATAAATTACTCTTTTATAAAGACACATGCATGTGTATATTCATTGCAGCACTATTCGCAATAACAAAGACATGGAATAAACCAAAATACCCATCAATGACAGACTGGATATAGAAAATGTGTTACACATACACCATGGAATACTATTCTATTTCCAATTTTTAATTTCAATAATTTCAATTTTCTGTGTCAATGTTGATATTTTGGGTAATTTTATTAGATTTTCAACATAAAAAAAGTTTTTTAAATGTAACTGGATAAAAAATAGGTATGCGAGGCCCAGAAAAATAAATAAATAAATAAATAACAAATTTAGAAAAACCATTCACAACACAATTCAATACCATGGTAGGACACTTAGATTGGCTTACAAGATTGTTTAGTAAAGGTTAAACTATTTCCATAATTTAATTGATGATAAGCAGCAAAGAGAGAAAGTGTGAAGCTTCATTTTAATGTGTATGTGTGTTTGTGTGTCTATATAGAAGCTGTGGTATATAGCTTGGTATATTAGGCTGGTAAAATCTTACAACTTGTTGGGATTTAATAGAACCAATTCCAAATATATTTATATTTCATGTATTTCTTAATTCTCTATCATGAATTTTGATCCACAAACATTTATATTTTTATTTCCCTAAAACATATCATTTTAGTCTTCAAGGTTGAAATTCCAACTATTCAGAATAATATTCAATAATTCTCTGATGTTTTACCATTGAAAAATTAACTTCTAAAAGTTTTAGTGTCCATGAGTTACATGAAAATATAACTACTATTGTGCTAATAAAACTTTTTATTTGAAATAACTGTTGAGACTAATTTGAACCACACGTCATTTAACTGTTTGCAAAGTTTTTTCAGAAATAGCCCTACTCCATAAACAGTTGTCCCTATACTGTTTTCATGCATGCAAGAAAACTTGAGATTGAAAAAGAAGAACAATAATTTTGAGTAGTCATTTAATCTAAATGAAAAGTCACATTCCATTGAAACCTGTTTTCCATGACTATATGAATTAAACCAAAATCTACTAATACTGACATGGTTTCCTTTTTAAAAGTACTAATTGTTAAACTCATGCTGATATTTTTTTCTGAAGATTTATGACCTAGCTTTTGTGGGGTTTTTAATATTTCTATGGCCCCACATATGTTAGATGAGAAATATCAACAGATATTTTGTGCAAGTTATATGTTCATTATCAATTGTTATTACTGAATTTTTTATTAAACACCTATTCTTCAGAATTAAATGTTTTTGGTTCATTGCTGCTAAAAAGAGTTTATTGCAAAATGAATGTGCAATCAATGAAACAATTAGTTGTCAATATTCAGCATAAAATACATAATATCATCTTCAGCCTCTATTTTTTACACATATTTCATGTACATATACTTTCCTACATTCTATATAGCCCTTACTTAAGTGGAGGCTTAGCAATTTGAAACTCACAGGCTATGGGACAAGACAGACACACGTGGCTGGGACATGTTATTTTTTGTCTTTTTAATAACGACTATTCCAACTGGTGTAAGTTGATTTCTCAACATGATTTTAATTTGCCTTTATCTGTTGATTAGCAATGTTGAGCATTTATTTTTACGACTGTGGAACATATAGGTGGCAATGCACAGGAGATATTTGAAAACACTAATTTGCAGTGCAGGGGAGTGCTGAAATATAGAAATATAAATTTTAAATTTTTCAGCATATGGGCAGTCAATGCAACCACTTGAGATGAAAGATCTGGTAAGGCATTTTTAGCATCAATATTTGTTGAACACATTATTGGCAATTTCTAGAGATAGGATGAATGGCATTTGTTTACACATTGATGACAAACGAGAAAATATAATGTCATTACTATAAATGACTTGTGTATCAGTTTCCTGTTGCTGCTGTAACAAATTATCACAAACTTTGTGGTTTAAAACAACAGAAATATATTCTCTCATGGTTTTGGATGCTCAAAATATGTCCAAAGTATGTACTACTGGGTTTAAATCAAGATGGCTATATTCTCTCTGGAGGCTCAAGGGGAGATTTTGTTCCTTGCCTCTCTCAACTTCTAATGGCTGCAGACATTTCTTGGCTCAAATCTGTGTCACTCTAGTCATGGCTTTGGTCATCACATTACCTTCTTATTTTCTTCCTCTGCTGTAAAATATCCCTCTACTTCCCTTTTATAAGGACGCATGTGATTCCATTTAGAGCCCACTTTGTTAATCCCTGATAATGTCTCCACCTCAAGATCTTTAATGTAATCACATCTACATAATCTTTTGTTGTCAGATAAAATAACATTCACAGGTTCCAGAAATTAGGGTATGGATATCTTTTTTGGGGGTTTGGGGAGGAGGCTGGTTATTATCAGCCTACTATGATTTTATGTTTCTAATCAACATGAAGACAGGAATTTTTTATTCTATCTATATCATCGCTCCTGAAATTTAGGTATTCAGAGAAATATAAATGTGCTATTTTTTTTTAAGAGTTGGGATCTCACTATGTTGCCCAGATTAGAGTGCAGTGGCTTTTCACAGGTGTGATCATAGTGCACTACCGCCTCAAACTGGCAAGTCATCATCCTTCCTTAGCCTCCTGTAGCTGGGATTTCAGGCATGCACCACTGTGCCTGGCTAAATACTCTATTTTGTAATGTATAAAACTGTGCTATTCATTAGAGTAGCCACTAACCACCTGAAGCAACTGAGCAATTAAAATATAGCTAGTCAGAAATGAGATATACTATAAGTGTAAAATATACATCATATTTGGAAGACTTGGTACAAGAAATATAATGTAAAATATCTCAACTTTTTGATTAATTAAATGACTTTTTTTATATATTGTACTAAAATATATTAGTGAAGTTAATTTTACTTTTTTCAATATGGCTACTAAAAAATTTAAAATTACATATGAAATTCACATTATATTTCAACTACACAGCACTAGTCTAGAATGTGCATGTTTAAATCTTTTCATTATATAGAGAAATGGTTTCTTTATAAATAATTAAAATTCCCGAAAGTTGCACACCAAGTTAGTTAAATGCTCGTCTTTAAAAATTCTATGGCTGTATCTTGCTCTATTGTAATCCATATTCATTCAAACTATGAACTTCTGTTTTCTCCATTTTACAGCAACAAACCGGCAGGACTTCCTGTGAAATCATGACCACCATGTGCTCTTTCAGCCTCTATCAGTTCCTACCTCTAAGCACCTGAGAGCCAAAGCAAACCACAGGAAACCACAGGTACTAACTCTTTTAGACCTGATGAAGTGTCTCCCAAATACAGTCTGGCATGGTGAGTACTGGAGTAACTGGCAATCTTTTAGAATGGAGAGAAAATAAGAAATTGGGAAAAATTTGGCATTTGCTTTCAATAGAGATCAGATTCTGACCTCTGGAAAGAAGAAATAAGGGAAAATGTTTATGATGGGGAAGGATCAAAGGGGAACTTGTGGGAAAGGAAGAGGCTGCCAGAAAAGGAGTTTTGAGATCTGAAAAGAGACTTGTGTATGTCTGAGGGAAGAGTTGGAGAGAGGTAACCAGGGGAGAAAATCTGGGAAGTTTTGAGCAGTGAAGATCTGATGAGATGGAAAAGGAGAAAGGACACTAATATTTATTAGGCCTCTATTGTATACCTGCACATAGGTTATTCAAATACATGTACAGTATTCATTTTTGGAGGCAAAAATTGAGGTACAGAAAAATAAAATTATTTCGCTAAGGTCACACAACTATTAGGGATCAAAGGCAAGTTTAGGATCCATTGATCAGTGGGTGGATATCCTTTTAGAGTGTTAAAGCTAGATTAAAGTGTGAATCTGCAAGGGTAAAAAATGGGCAAATGACTTTGAGTAATTTGAGAAAAGTTGAGTCATTTCAATGATAGTCTGTGTGTAATCCGGGTTGGGAAAGTGAAAGCAGGGGGAAGCAGGGCAGGGAAGTGTTTGTACTTGGAACTGTCCGTAACAACTGTGGGAATACTAACACACTGAAAGCCCCCAGAAGAAATGGGATATTGGTTAGCCTCGTAACTAGGCAAAGTTTTGAACTTGACCAGTTCCTTGACATCCCACTGTAGTTCTATAGGTCAAAGCATAGACCTTTGGAGTTTTATATACTTGCCCATAAAAAATATCAGCATATTTGAACTTCAAACTCTCACAGATCTGATGGAAATATACGCAATAGAGATCAGTTCAAGTTTTAGTAAGTTCATCTCTAAAACTGAAGGTAACATGAATCACCTTGCCTTCAGAATTTCTAGCTCTGTAATTTGCAATTTATACTATTCCTTTTAGAAATTATTTCATTCTCATTTCTCCTAGAACCTTCAAGGGTTCAAACATCTATTCTTCAAATATTCACATTTTCTTCATTTCAGTAGGCTCTTCCAACCATGGACTACAGGATAAATTATTTTATTGATGCCCTTCCCTGATACACTATTGGATTCTAATCACTTAAGCATTGCATCTATGAGTACATGGACATAATGGCTGCTGGTGGGAGGCTGAGAGAGTAACCCCTGGTGGGAGTGGTGGGAGGTTGGTGATGGGAGTGGGGAAAAACGAAAAAAATCTTACACTCTAACAGGCTTGGCTCACCATAATTTACAAAGTCCTAGTATAAGTTTTATTCTTGCTGCTCTTTAGCAGCCTTTTTTTTATTCTTTTATTAACTGCTCTGGGTATTTCCTATTCTGATTTCTCATTATCCTTTCTTTCCTTCTTTCTTTCTTTCTTTCTTTTTTTTTTTTTTTTTTTTTTTTTTTTGAGACGGAGTCTCGCTCTGTCACCCAATCACCCAGGCTGGAGTGCAGTGGCGCTATCTCGGCTCACTGCAAGCTCTACCTCCAGGGTTCAGGCCATTCTCCTGCCTCAGCCTCCTGAGTAGCTGGGACTACAGGCGCCCGTCAAAACGCCTGGCTAATTTTTGGTATTTTTAGTAGAGATGGGGTTTCACCATGTTAGCCAGGATGGTCACGATCTCCTGACCTCGTGATCAGCCCGCTTCGGCCTCCCAAAGTGCTGGGATTTCAGGGGTGAGCCACCGCGCCCGGCCTATCCTTCTTTCTTCTAGCTGTTAATCTTGCCTTTCATTCAGCCAAAATCAAGACACTTGGCCCAGGCTTTCTCATTTCACCTTCTCATTTTAATCGATCACTATCTCTACATGAAGATCTTTTCATCTTTCCCAATGTTTGTGGAAAAGAAAGCACTCAAACCCCTTTTTGTTTTCCTAAAAAGGTAATTGTCAGTATTTACTTTTCTTCTATCATCTTTAATTCTTTTTTTCTGTTGACTCTTCTTTCCATGTCTGATGATGGTTAAAGTTTTTTTTTTTTAAGCTTTGGTAAATCAACAGGAGAAATAATGTATTATTCTTTAAATTAGCCTTTCTTGAATTAGGTGATTGAATATTTAAATGTTTAGCAGTCATTTCTTTACCCAGTGAATTGTCTTTTGAAATTTCATACTCCTTTTCCTAATTGTATATTAGATAAATTTTGCAATTTTTTTTGACCTTGTTTATAAATTAATGTTAAGCATTTGTCTGTAATATTTGTGACAAATATTTTTCTGTTTATTGCCTTTAGTAATGTTTAAAAAATGTTAGATATTTTAAAAGTTTAGTTATATTTATCACACTGGTCACCATTTCCCATTGTGATATCTTTAAGTGCTTATATGCTTAGAGTGTCATTTGCTGTCTGTATTTCAGACTAAGATGTACAGGCATTCAATGTTTACAGTTAGGCGTACATTCTGAGAAAGGCATGGGTAAATTATTTTGGTATGCAGGCACCATAGAGTCTACATACACAAACTTAGATGTTGTAGCCTGCAACACACCTAGGCTATATAGCATAGCTTATTACTCCTAGTCTACAAACCTATACAGCATGTTACTATAATGGATACTGTAGACAACTGTAACACAATGGTAGGTATTTGTGTATCTAATCATATCTAAACACAGAAATGGTACAGAAAAATATAGTATTATATTATGGTATCATATATGACATTTTATGGTGTCATATATGTAGTTTGTTGTTGACTAAAATATCACTCTTTAACACATGACTATCCTTTTATGTTATTTCTGTTTTTATTTTATTATGTTAAAGTTTTGAATGCATGCGTATTTATTTTACCCTTTCTCATAATATTACCAAATTATCTGAGATCATGATAATTGAAGTCTTGAAATCTTCTTTGACTTGTCTAGCTTAACTCATATGCCATATCATTAATTTAGAAACTGTAATTTTCAAAAATTAAATCAAATTTGAGCTGAGCCATTCCATTAGATGATAGCCATAGTAAAGATAAGGATCATGTCATAGTTGTATCCTCAGCACATAGTATAATCCTTGATGTATTATTTATTATTGTATGTAATACAATAATAGGCTTTCAATAAATGTTTGCTGAATTGGATTACAAAATTGGGTTATCATGTTAAATCAATGTCATGGTAATTATTTTGTGTATATAATGCAATGCAATGTTTTCCTGAAACTATGCTTTTAACCAAGCCAACTTGTATATCATTCACTTGTCCTCATTCCTTACTTTTATATTCTTTCTTCTTTCTATCCAGCTTCAGACAATGTTGGCATAGTCTCTTTTCTATTTCTCATCTTAGAATTCAGCTGCCTAATTGAAAGGGCAAATATTTATCCAGTGACTCTTCTTTCTGACCAGTTTGGACAACCAACCAACTTCAGTCCCTAAGACTCCCTATCTGCATGGGATTTTCTATAAAACTGGCTTTATGCATTTGTAAATATGGCAGTCCTATTTCCCCAAAAGTCTCTACATTTTGAATTTTCTTACATTAGCTGCAGTAAGGAAAACTCAAAGAAATGGTTGTCTGAATAATTGCTTATTGAGCATACATTTTATTATACGACAATCATTTAAATAGTGCTAATTCAAGCAAAGACCAGAAGGGGTTTAAGATTCCTAGGAAATCCTTAAGCAGATTTCATTTGCTAAAGAGTGAAATTTTATGGTTAATACATAAACTGTAAAAAATTAAAAAGGAAAGGATGGCATTGGAAGAAAAACAGTCACATGTCCTGGTATTATTTTTCTTAATATTGGAAAACAGCTTCCTATGTAGTCAGTTGGTCAAGTTTTGTAAGAGTATGTAGGTTGAGTTTATAATTTAAAACTTCCTGAAGCAAATATAAAGAATGGAGATGAAAGACGTACAGTCAAAATGCAAGAAACTGAACAAGAAAGTAACATGAAGATATAGATAAACTTAAGTACCAGGCACATTGCCTTCTATAGTTTTTTTTTTTTTTAGAAATAGACTTCAGAAAACATATGTGTATGTGTTGTTTTAAGGCCACTGAGAAGAAAAATAATGGGTTAGAAATTAAAACTGTTTTGGTAAGCCATAAAACAAGATTTGTAGAAAGAACTGGGGGTATGAGACCTCAATGTTTTATTTAAGGCCATCCCTATTCATTTTCATCCATAAGCCAGGCAAATAAAAACAGCATAGACGTATATCTAACCCTGTATAACCCTGAGCTGACATTCTTGTAGGAACCATGCCTGTTTACAGTTTCTGTGTTTAGTAAGAACGTTATAGTTGTATAACATCTCTCTATGGCTCTTTGCAAATAATAGTAGCTACCATTTATTAAACACCCACTGCATGACAGATAATGTGCTAGTTTCCTAAACCAGGTTTCATTTTATCTTCACAGAAATCTTATGATATAATACAAGTGTAATATACATTTTACAGATGAGGAGACTGAGGTTTAAGTATATCAGCTGATGGCTGAAAGTCACATAAATATAAATGACAGAGCTGGGTATTGAAGTTAAGAAATACAATTTTTGAATCTGCTACTATAAAACAAAACCTAATTATCAAGACACATAAGATCCAACTTCCAAAATTAGTAACATCAAAATTACTGGGTATGTTGACTATTTGTGTTTATAGGTTTAATAACTTATTCTTTCTACCACAGATTTAATAATTACACTTATAAGATATATTACATATTTGTTTGCATTAGTAAGTTGTATAATAATAATAATAATTTATACTTTTTTGATGACTCTGCATCACGACGATCATCAGTGAAAGTGATGGAAGAAGCCAGGTGTGATAGCTCACGCCTGTAATCCTAGCACTTTGGGAGGTCCAGGGGGGTGGATCACCTGAGGTCAAAAGTTCAAGACCAGCCTGGCCAACATGGCGAAACCCTGTCTCTACAAAAAAATACAAAAATTAGCTGGGCCTGGTGGTGTGAGCCTGTAATCCCAGCTATTCACAAGGCTGAGACAGGAGAATCACTTGAACCCAGGTGGCCGAGGTTTCAATGAGCTATCATGCCACTGCACTCCAGCCTGGGCAACAAAGTGAGACTCATCTCAAAAGAAAAAGAAGAAAATGATGGAAGATAATAGTTCATTGGAAAAAATCTAAGTGATATTAAAGTTATATCTTCTGGATCTCAAGAATAAAGTTATAACCTCATGGCTTTTCAGTGACACTTTATTGTAAATGTAGGAATTAATAAGCCCTGTCAAATAGGTGTCTTTATGTGTTGGGGTGATCAGACCCAACACCAGGCTGTGTGGGCTACAAAGTCTGGCGGAGTCAAAGGAATGAGAAAAGACAAGTTAAGAGTGCATAAAGTGGGTCCAGGGGGCCAACACTAGATTGGAGTCTGTGAAGTCCCCAAACTCTGGGAGCCAACACTATTTATTGGTGATCAAACAAAGAAGCAGGTGGTGAGGATGTGAGGGTAAACAGGTGAGGGCGTGAGGACATGGAGGGTAGAAAGGTAGTGGTGCATCAAGCGTAGCTGTGATGGTTTAGCATTTTCTTTGACGCATATAGAATATGCTCTGTTGCTTGAGATAATAGAGAACATGTTTACGAGCCTGGGAGAGCAACCAACAGGTCTGTGCACATTCCAGATGCCACAAGGGGTTTTATGCCCTGAGCCCTGGGTTCCATTCAAGCCACGAGGGGTTTTATGCCCTGGCCTTAGATTTGTGGTGCAGCAGGGCAGCCTTCCACTCTTTGGCACAGAGCTTGGTGTTCCAAAGGCCACGAGGGGTTTTAGACCCTGGACCCCAGACATCTTCCAAGACTCTTTTATATTATGACAGACAAGCCAGACCTGCCTCAGCTCTTCCACCAACATTATGAAGAATATTGAATTAAGTCTGAAACATCTGTCTCCTTGGGTACTTATCTAAGTGGCACTACTTTGTGATTCCAAAACTTGGAATGGTAGATTATTGACATATAGTCTAGTTTTTTTCATTCTTTGGAAGTTTTGAATCAAAGTGAGAGTAATGGAGAATAAAGAATGTATTAAAGGTAAGGTAGATTTATGGGGATGATAAGGTTTTAATTGAAGAAGAGAGGCAGGAGAGTTTATCAGGAAAGTAAATTTACATATAGCTAGGGAAAATGCATAAAAAGAAAGTAGGTAACAAGAAAATAGTTTTGTTAGTTTATTTTTGTTATACCAATTTTGACATGTCAGCTGGAAGTACTCTGAGTTCTCATTAACCTCTATTCCCTTGCTGCTGTTTCCAAATCCTCCAGATGGCCTGTGGCAAAGAAATGCTTCTGATGATGTAAGATTGGAGAAAAGGGCCTGTTGTAGTTCCTTTGTGGATATTGTTCAATTTGAAAAAGAAGCCCTAAGAAAACCTTGCTTGATGTTTTAAAATAGCTACAGACTTACTTCAGCTACCACAATAAAGGGAATGCTTTATTTAATTTATATTATAAAATATGACAATAATATTTATCACTATTCAAGAATGCATAGATTATCTTATTTAAGAAAACTATACTTATTTCACCAGTATTACAGGGAATTTTGCATTTTTATCAATGAAAAAGAATACATATAATACAGAAAGTATTGAGTATGGATTCCTAGTCTGAAATTTTGTCTTGTTTTTTTTCCCTGTAAAATATTTTCCATTTATTACTTAGGTTGGCTTAATGTAGAGAGGAAACACTTAGACATTAGCAGTTGCCTGTGTTAATCTGGTTATTCTGTAATAGCAACCACAATCACTTTCCTAAAGTTCACTCTTTCAGTGATTATCCTGTTGAGACGCAGAGCAATGACATTTATTCTGTTGTGCTTATAAGCAATGACATTTATTCTATTGTCAGAAGCAATGATTGTCTCAGCCTATATTATCATACTGACAGGTTGCCGACTTCTCAAGCTGCAGAAGACATTTTAAAGCAACATTTATTTTTCATTCATTCATTCAACGTTCACTGAATTACTAAAACACTTACTAAGTGTCTGTTATATGCCAAGTACTGCTCGAAGTACTGGAGATGTAGAAGAGATCAAGACGTAGTATCTACCCTCAAGGAGTTTCCAGACCAGTAATCAGAAGTAAGACTTGGCTACAAAAAGAAAAAGGTAATATAGAGTCACCTGGTCTTCTGTTAGATATTAGTATAGGGCAAAATAAAGGATAAAAAGCAAAGGATGTTGGCTTTATCTATGGAGTCAGAAAATTCTTTATAGACATGACACTTTGTGTTTTAATGTAAGAGACAGCCTAGCAGGGAGAGGGTGGGTGCATTGAAGAACAACCTGAGGTGCTAGCATTCCACATAGACGAAGTAGGATGGCCACAGATAAACCATCTGACACAGTTAGAGAAATGTAAGCCACCTCGCATGGCTAGAATGTAAGGTATGAGAGGAATCGTGGCAAAAACTATGTCTGGAGAGGAAGGCAGCTCCCAGGTTATGGTGAGCATTGTATACTAAGCTAAGGTGTCTAGGTTTGTTGTAAGAAACAATGAAAGATTGTTTACACAGAAATATATATTTGCACTCCAGAAAATAATCCTTGTAACACTTTGGGAACAGTGGCATATATGTGAAGGTCAAATTACTGCACATCCTGGGCACTTGAGACAGTCTGTTTGTGTCTTCCATGTTGCAATTCAGCATTTCCCTTTTTTTTTTTTTTTTTTGAGACGGAGTTTCGCTTTTGTTGCCCAGGCTGGAGTGCAATGGCGCTATCTCGGCTCACTGCAACCTCTGCCTCCCGAGTTCAAGCGATTCTCCTGCCTCAGCCTAACAAGTAGCTGGGATTACAGGCATGCACCACCAAGCCCAGCTAATTTTGTATTTTTAGTAGGTATGGGGTTTCTCCACGTTGGTCAGGCTGGTCTCAAACTCCCGACCTAAGGTGATCCGCCCTCGTCCGCCTCCCAGAGTGCTGGGATTACAGGCGTGAGGCACCGCGCCAGGCCAGTATTTGCCTTTTAACAAAGTGGTGTCTGACCCTACTTTGGTTGTGGCTTTCTGGGCGCTTCCTTCTTAAAGAGATGTGTATTTCTTATTCAAGGAAATGTTCTTTTGGTTTTTGAGATTAGTTACATATTTAGCAATTTTTTGAGGACTTTCTTAGTTGTTATTCTATGTAGAATGAGAACATTTCAATGTGTTAAGTTGTATATTTTAAACTTGAAGTTGCTGGTCTTTTTTAAACATAGATTTGTGTGTTTTTTTAATAAAATGGCATTTTATTTTCATAATGTTAAAAATCTTAATTTTGACGATGCTAAATATCTTAATTAATTGAATAAAAAATTGTAGCCTTAAGCTTTCTTCTCCCAATAACCCATAGGCAATGACTTTAATTTTTTTTGTTCCCCCTTGGCTTTTAAATATAATACATATTGTTAAATGTATTAAATATTAATGTATTTAATATAATACATATTTAATGTATTTAAATATAATATATATTGTTAAGTGCACAAATTGTTAAATGATGTGCTTTTACTGGTTTTTCTTATTAATTTTTGGTTTCTATGTTAAAAATATTTATTAACTCACTGCTATCATGGCCAAGGATTTATTTCTTTAGCAATATCAGGATGTCTTTTTTTTACCATTTCCTCCAATATTAGAAAAGTCAGTTTTCACAGGATAACTGCAAATATAGGCAGTCTTTAAATCTAAGTAGTTTACTATAAAAATACTTCTTTTTTCTACATTCCTTTCTATATCAATATATAGGTATTCTTTATATATTTATTCTTTTATATATGTAGATCTACAGATTTATGTGTATCTATCTCTATATATATATTCATACATAAAATATAATGAAATCATGAAACATATTCAGACACATCAGAGCCCAGGAAAATGTCTGCTGCCCAGCTGTCATTTTGGTACCTTGCCTCATCTTTTTCCCTAATGGGATCCATTGTTTCCTAGATCCCATGTCTTCCTTTGATGAATTGATTGATTAGCTAATTAATATTCCCTTGCTTCCTTGGAGCATATCATTCATATTTCTCTTTCTATAAATATAGAGAGATATAGATATTTCTATGGATCCATATATATTTAGATATCTATATATATCATATCATTCAGATATATCATATCTGTATGTCATATATCATACAGATATAGCATATCTATATATGATATATTGAGAGAGAATATCATATATATGAGATATTCTAAAATGTTTATTCAGATTATCCATTTATTAGGGTCTTTATTTTTTCAGTTTATCCATTTATCAAGTCTTTTTTTTTAAAATAAATTTATTTCTTCTTGCATCCTTGTTCCAACTTTAGTCCAAACTGGTGGCTTCTAGTCTGCTGCCCAGCTGTCATTTTGGTTCCTTGCCTTATCTTATTCCCTGATGGGATTCATTATTTCCTAGATCCCATGTCTTCATCTGATGAACTGACTGATTAGCTAATTAATATTTCCTTGCCTCTTTGGAACATATCGTTCAGTAAATATGTTTAAGAAGGTATATGGGAGGACATTTTCCTGGGTTCTTATGTGTCTGAATATATTTTATGATTTTATATTTATTTTCCCCTTGTAGCTTCAGTAGCTTTTAGACTCATCAGGCTGGTGAGAAATATGATGCCAGACTGAATCTTTGTGACCCATTATTCTCTGAAACTCTTCAGCTTTTCTCATTTTTTCTGGTATTCTGAATCATAATGGTATGCCTTGATGTGTGGCGTGAACTTCCAAGCTGAGTACTTATGAAGTTCTTGCATAGTTTATTCTGTTATTTCTTTGGTAATGTCCTTCACTTTCTATTTTATATATTTTCCAAAACTTTATTTAGCTAGATGTTAGGCCTTCTGAATAAATTCTCTAGGTCTCTAATTCTTTTTTTCTTTTCTTTTCTTTCATTTTTTTTTTACTATGAGATATATTATACACACAGAGATATAAAATCATAAGGCTATACAATACAAAACAATAATGAAATAAGTATTTATGTACTAATCTCCCAGAATAAGAAATGGAATGTTACAAATAACTTAGAAGCTTTTGATGTTCCACTTAAGAGTTACATGTACTCTAGGTTAAAGAAATTTGCTTCTCTTCTGCTTCTTGGTCTGAGTGTCTTTTCCTTTTTTTTTTTTTTTGAGTGGCTATTGTATTGGAAACATATATATATATATATATATATATCTCCTCCTTTGCTGTGCTTTTTGGGCCCTCAGCTTGTCTAGGTTTTGTAGGTCATCCTTCTTCAGATTCTCTGACTCCTGAGCTAGATACTTGTTGTTAAGGACACTCGTTTCCTCTGCAGGAGATTGGAGGTGTTGAGAGATAGAGATTTCAGAGTATTCTTGTGTCTCTCAGTTTGTCCAGGTGAATTCCAGTTGATCCTTACTCTCCTCTACTTCATGTGTGTGTAATTTCCTAATTGCTGTCTATGCTAATTTAGTGACTTGAGGCTCACCTCAAGATGCAGAGGTATCTTGAGGATGCTACAGCTTTTCATAGGCTTTTAAAAATATTCTTCCACAATTATGTAAGGCCTGACTCCAGGGTCTGCTCCCTGGGCTTGCAGCCAGTACATCATCACATTGGGCCGCAGACTTAGAATGATGCCTTTGCCCTGTGGTTGATATTTTAAAACCTTTAATAGTTTTATCCTTAAATTTTTGTCATGTAAGCAAAATCTGATGGGACAATGCAGCATAAGACAGGTACTTGGGGCCTTGGCTCACATGTTGTCCTGCATTCCTGGAAGTACTTCTAGCTGTCCACTTCCTAGCCACTGCCCAGCAACTACTGCTGTCCTCTAGACTCAGCAGCCCCCTGTAGATAAAGATGGAGAGACTTTGAGTTAGATACATGGACCCCAGGCATCAAGGCATGGGATTGCTCTGTGATTCTTGAGGTCTGCACTCACTCACAAGTATTCCCATGCCCAAGGCAGTGTGACCTTAAATAGCAAATAAAAACATCATGAAAAATTAAAAAAAAGATACTGGGGAAAAAAAGGAGAAAATTTTGTTCTTGCTTTTCATGCAATAAGCCCTGCATTTTCATTTTATACTGCGTCCTCCAAATTACTTAGTTGGCCTTTATTCCCTGTTATTCCTAATTGTTCTAGTTCTCTGATTAAAACCTGTCTGGTGGCCGGGTGCGGTGGCTCATGCCTGTAACTGTAATTCCAGCACTTTGGGAGGCCGAGGCGAGTGGATCACCTGAGGTCAGGAGTTGGAAACCAGTTTGGTCAACATGGCAAAATCCCGTCTGTACTAAAAATACAAAAATTAGCTGGATGTGGTGGTGCACACCTATAATCCCAGCTACTTGGGAGGCTGACACAGGAGAATCGCTTGAACCTAGGAGGTGGAGGTTATAGTGAGCTGAGATTGTGCCACTGCATTCCAGCCTGGGCGACAGAGTGAGACTCTGTTTCAAAACAAAACACACAAACAAACAAAAAACCTCTCTGGTATATTGTGGAGTAAACTGTTTATTGAATGTTGATAGAACTCACTTGTAATATATTTGGGCATGCATCTTCATTGTAGGAAGATATTTAGCTGATTACGATTTTTTATTAGTTATGATTACTTGGAATTTTAATTTCTTTTCAAGAAAGAATTGGTAAGTTGTATTTTTCTGAAGATTTATTAACTTCATCTAACTTGGATGTGTTGGTACAAACTTGTTCTTAAAATTTTCTTAACTGATTAATCTTTGTGGCATCTATAATTTTGTTCCTTTTGTCTTTTCTGGTTTTGCTTAAATTAATTTTCCAATGGTTTGTCTATCTATTGGTCTTCTCAAAGAGCCAGTTTTTATCATTTCTGAACTCTATTTTTTTTATTTCTTTGCATTATGTTCTTATGTTTGCTTCTTTGAGTTTATTCTGCTGCTGTTTGTTTTATGTGTTAATTTGTAAATTTATTAACTTCAAACTGTTTTAAACTAGTGTTAATAATATAAGGCTTAGATTTAACTTTAAATACAAATTTTTAATCAAAATTATTTGGGTAATTTACATAAAATTAGGTATAAAATTTGGTATGTTTTGACAAATATATACGCCAATGTAACCATTACCATAATCATGATATAGAATATTTCTATCACCCCAGTCTCTTCTGTTTTAAATTCCTATCTAAGGGGTCTGGGGAGTCATGCCCTATAAACCATAAATTATTATCTGATGAGTATTATTTAACCGTATATATTGTGACTTACTTTCCAACCTGACTCTGGCATAATATTACAAGACAAGAAAGAAAAACTAAATATTTTACCCCAAGACAACTTTTGTTGCCCTATCTTGAAATGGCCCTGCAAAGCTGTCCTTTGTGGGGGAAAATTTGCATCAGTAAAGAATCTCTGTTAACATAGCTAGATCTTTTTCTTCCTGGCCCTCTCAATCCTAAAGAGATTAACTAAAAGCCTAGCACCTTTTAAAGATCTAAATAGGAAACATTTGTCATCTATTAGCTCTAAGGGGAGCCACTATAAGACTTCAAAGGAACCTTGGTTTCCACAATATTTTATGTTAACCTTAACATTTCCTTTCTATTAATCCCAGGTCCTTAGACAAACTCAACCAATTGTCAAATAGAAAATGTTTAAATTAACCTATAGCCTGGAAGCACCTCTCCCCCCACCCCACACCCAGCTTTGAGTTGTCCAGCTCTTCTGGACCAAAGCAATGTATTCCTTAAATGTCCAGCTTTTCTGGACCAAAGCAGTGTATTCCAAACCATGTGCCACCTTGGGAACATGTTCTCAGGAACTCTTGAGGGCTGTGTCATGGACCATGGTCACTCATATTTGCCTCAGAATAAATCTCTTCAAATATTTTTACAGAGTTTGCCTCTTTCCATTGACATTATCTAATAAACAACTTCAGCAGCAAAGTTCCATTGTGTAAAAGCAGTAGCATTTTTATACACCAACAACGTCCAAGCTGGGAGCCAAATCAAAAATGCACTCCCATTCGCAATAGCCACAAAAACAATAAAATACCTAGGAATACAGCTAACAAGGGAAATGAAAGATCTCAACAGTTACCAAACACTACTCAAAGAAATCACAGATTACACAAACAAATGAAAAAAAAAAATCCCTGCTCATGAAGAATCAATATTTTTAAAATGATCATACTGCCTAAGGCAATTTACAGATTCAGTGCTATTCCTATCAAACTACTAATGACATTGTTCAAGGAATTAGAAAAAAAACTATTTTAAAATTCATATGGAATGAAAAAAGAGCACAAATAGCCAAAGCAATTATAAACGAAATAACAAAACTAGAGACATCACATTACCCGACTTCAAACAATTCTACAAGGCTAGAGAAACCAAAACAGTATGATACTGGTACAAAAACAGACAAATAGACAAATGGAACAGAATAGAGAGCCCAGAAATAATGCTGCACACCTACAGTCATCTGATCTTCCACAAAGTTGACCAAAACTAACACTGGGGAAAGGGCTCCCTATTTAATGGTGCTGGGGTAACTGGCTAGTCATATGCAGAACACTGAAATATACATAAATCAATTCAAGATGAATTAAAGTCTTAAATGGTTGTATAAAAAAACCTGTAACATAAGCCAGGAAGTACAATTCTGGACATAGGCACTGGCAAAAGATTTTATAACAAAGATGCCAAAAGCAATTGCAACAGAAACAAAAATTGACAAATGGGACCTAATAGATTTAGAGACTTATACAGAACAAAAGAAACTATCAACAGAGTATACAGAAAACCTACAGAATGAGAGAAAATATTTGTAAACTATGCATCCAACAGTCTAATATACATAATCTGTAAATAACCAACAAATTAACAAGCAAAAAACATCCCCATTAAAATGTGGGTAAAGGACATGAACTGACACTTTTCAAAAAAAGACATATACATGGCCAGCAAGCATATGAAAAAAATTTTCAACATCACTAATTATTAGATAAATGCAATCAAAACCATGAAGAGATACCATCTCACACCATTCAGAATGGCTATTACTAAAAAGTCAAAAAATAATATATGCTGGCAAGGTTGCAGAGAAAAGGAAATGTTTATGCACTACTGATGGAAATGTAAATTTATTCAGCCATTATGGAAAGCAGTGTGGCAATTTCTCAAAGAACTTAAAACAGAATTGCCATTTGACCCTGCAAGCCTATTACTGGATATATACCCAAAAGGATGCAAATAGTTCTACCAAGAAGACATATGCACTCACATATTCATCACTATATTCACAAGAGTAAAGAATTGGAATCAACTTGGTACCTATCAACAGTAGATCAGATAAAGAAAATGTGGTACGTATGTACCATGGAATACTACACAGCACAAGAACAAGTTCATGTCTTTTGCAGCAAGATGTATGGAGCTGGAGGCCTTTATTCTAAGCAAACTAACACAGGAAGAGAAAACCAAATATCACATGTTCTCACTTATAAATTGGAGCTATACATTAAGAACACATGTATACAAAGAAGGAAACAACATCCACTGGGGCCTATCAGAGAGTGCAGAACAGGAGGAGGAAGAGGGTTGGAAAAGTACCTATTGGGTGACATGTTTATTGCCTGGGTGATTAAGTAATCTATACACCAAATGCCCATGACACACAATTTACCTGTAACAAACACCCACATGTACCCCTGAACTTTATTGTTTAAAGTTTTTAAAATATATTGTATTTTTAAAAATAATGTTTTTAAAAGTTAATAAGTTTTAAAAAGTTAATAAGTTAAAAAAGTTTTAAAAAATATTGAGTTATTTTTAAAAGCTTCTTTTAAAATTTTAAAAACTTAAAAAAACTTTAAAAAATAAAGTAAAATCCTCAAGAAGTATAATTATAGACATGCTTAGATATAATCATACAAGAAAATGAAATGATGCCCCACTTTTTCTAAAACATCTAAAGAATATTGCTACCACAGCTTAGAGGTATTACTTTGCATAGATAGTTTTTGGAATGTATCATGTGTATTTGCAAAGAAAATATGTGTATTTGCAAAGAAAATATATGTATTTTCTACATGTTGTATATGATGTACTAAATGTTTCCTTTAAATCTAATTTGTTAATTTTGCTATTCAAAGTGGCATTATCAGTGTGTCTCAATGGTGGTGTTACTGCCATCATTTCTCAAATATGTAAAAGTATTTTAGTGGTCACAGAAATGGGGAGGGTATTATTATCATTTCCTTAGTGGAGTCCAGGGGTGGTAAACGTTCTTGCATAGGCTAAGAGAGTGTCCAACAATCAATAAGTGTACCATATGTTGCACAACCGAACATACATACTAGCTTTCTTTTACCTGCACAACTCACCTTGTCAGCCTTTTATAATACATTGAGCTTTCCAAGTACACAATTACCACAAAGACTAAGGAAATATAAAGTCAACAGTGAGGAGGCAGAACAGAGAGTCAGAAACAACTTGAGTCCTTGGTGAATTCACTCAGCAGTGAATCAAATTATTCAGAAGTTGCTCTCATTTGTATACCTGGTTATATGCATTAATACATCCCCTTAGTGGTCAAGTTTTTTTTGTTTGTTTGTTTGTTTGTTTTGTTTGTTTGTTTGTTTTTGTAGCTAGAATCAATCTAAAATTTAGACCTAATAATTTTTATTGTGTTAGCCAGGCATGGCTGTATGCACCTGTAGTCCCAGCTATGCAGGAGGCTGAGGTGGGAGGATCAGTTGAGCTCCAGTGATTGAGGTTGCAGTAAACTGTGATTGCGGCATTACAATCCAGCCTGGGCAGCAGAGTGAGACCCTGTCTCAAACAAATATATAAAATATGGCTGCTGGGCTCAGTGGCTCATGCCTGTAATCCCAGCACTTTGGGAGGCCGAGGCAGGCGGATCAGGAGGTCAGGAGATCGAGACCATCCTGGTTAACACGGTGAAACCCCGTCTCTACTAAAAGTATAGAAAAATTAGCCGGGTGTAGTGGCGGGCACCTGTAGTCCCAGCTACTCGGGAGGCTGAAGCAGGAAAATAGCGTGAACCTGGGAGGCAGAGCTTGCAGTGAGCAGAGATGGTGCCACTGCACTCCAGCCTGGGCGACAGAGCAAGACTCCATCTCAAATAAATAAATAAATAAATAAGAAAAAAATATATAAAATAAAATAAAGTGACGGTAACTTAAAAAAGTAATAATAGGCCGGGAGTGGTGGCTCACGCCTGTAATCCCAGCACTTTGGGAGGCCGAGGCGGGCAGATCACGAGGTCAGAAGATCGAGACCATCTGGCTAACACGGTGAAACCCTGTCTCTACTAGAAATACAAAAAAATTAGCCGGGCGTGGTGGCGGGCGCCTGTAGTCCCAGCTACTCAGGAGGCTGAGGCAGGAGAATGGCGTGAACCCGGAAGGCGGAGCTTGCAGTGAGCCGAGATCGCGCCACTGCGCTCCAGCCTGGGCGACAGCGAGACTCCGTCAAAAAAAAAAAAAAAAAAAAAAGTCCTTTTGTATTTTTCTAATTTAAAAACTATCTGTGAATTCTGATACTAGGTCTTACATGGTCAGTTTGATGGATCTTTTAATACATTACATAATTCAGTTAATATGTTTCCTTTGCTATTTTTGAAATCTGTTTTAATCAGAGAGTCACAAATGACTTTTTTCTGTTATGTTTTTAATATTTGGTAATGGATTAAGTCAGTTTTTGTTCTTCTATGCTATAGAAAAATTTAAGTAGAATCTAAGTTTTTAAAATTACCAGCAGTGTTATATTCTTTTATACTTTATAAAAGTATCTTTCATGTCCCTCATGATTTTATCGTGTTTAATTCTTTACTTCATTTAATTTTCTCATGTTGTTCTAATTATATTTGCCAAAGTTTTATGTATTCTTTTTATTTTATTTTAAAATTCTGTGCTTAAATGTACTTACTAATTCTGGTTTTTGTTCATGCTTTTTGAAAACTCCTTAACTTCTGCCTGTATTTCATTATTTCTGAAAAATAGTTTATATTAACTACACAATTTGGTTTAACATCCTTCTTTATTAAGCTATTTGTTATTTTGGATTATTTATGATGTGTCTCATTTTATTTTCTTTTTTTGCTATTATATATGACATTGCAATAAATAATATTATCAATGCTGTTATAAATTTCTCTTATTACTTCCTAACTATAAATTCCTATGAAAAAATGATTAGGTTGAATTTTTTCTCTCTCTCCATTTTTCTCTTTCTCATTCCAGTTTTACAATGCATTTTCAAATTAATTGCTTATTAAAAGTTTGCACAATATCCATTAGTATGCATTCATGTTTGTTTTTGGCGCTTATGAAAATAGATATAGGTAATTGACCTTTTTCTAACTACTGCTGTTATTTAAAAGTATAAATAGGACTGGGTAGCCCAATATCTTTCTTTTTCAGTCTAAAAAATTGATTTGTTAAAATCTCAAATATTTTTAGTTTTAGAATTCCTTTAATGAGGAGAAAAATCTTAGATATGAAAATAGTAAGTGTTGGTGCTATCCACAGATGAAATAATTTAATTAAATTGAATTTATTATATACTTGATGAGTATTGAGATTGTAATTAATATTTGATTTAAAATTAAATTATAAACTTTCAACTCTAGCTTTTATGTGAAGTCTTGCTTTCACTTTATTACATAAACAGAGAAAAGGAAATCTATCTATAGTTGGTATTAGTTGGTAACGCTTTCCTTGAAATGAATATGTGTGGAGAGAAGCAGAAGGCAGGTCTCTGTACATTTAATCAGCTTTCCCTTATAACTTCTAACTTCAATTTCTTTTCTTGTAAAATTATCTGTAGTCTCCAAGGACACTTTAACTATAGAAAAGTTTATTTCACCATGATTTAGAACTAAAAAATAAAAACAACTCTTCTGGCCCACCCCTATTTAGGCCCAGTTTTATGTGTTGGAATGGTTGTTTAGAATGAGGGAATGTACTTTTAGGATATGAAATCCTCAATTGTTTATATTTGTATAGACTAAAGAAAGAGATAGCAAAGTATGAGCCACTGGCTTTGGAGGTAAAAATATTTCAGCTCAAATTTGCTTGCTACTTTTTAATTTAGTGACATTGAGAAAGCTTATTAATATTCCTAAATGTCAGGAAGATTTAATAGAAATGAATGTGTATATATATATAACAACTTACTTCCAAACTGTTGCTTATTACTTATGTAAATAGGTTTCACTGTTAAATTGGTATGTGTGTGTGCATGCAAATGTGTGGGGTACATGTTTGTTCATACACACAATTTAATAGATTTGGAAGCATAGGCATATAGAGTAGCCACTTTCTATGAAGGAGAGAGGTTATTTATTTTTATTTATTTATTTATTTATTTATTTATTTATTTGAGACAGAGTCTCACTCTATTGCCCAGGCGGGAGTGCAGTGGCATGATCTTGGCTCATTGCAACCTCCACCTCCCAGGTTCAAGTGATTCTCCTGCCTCAGCTTCCCAAGTAGCTGGAATTACAGGCATGCACCACCACGCCTGGCTAATTTTGTATTTTTAGTAGAGACGGGGTTTCACCATGTTAGCCAGGCTGGTCTCGAACTCCTGACCTCAGGTAATCTGCCCACCTGAGCCTCCCAAAGTGCTGGGATTATGGGATTGAGCCACGGCACCAGGACTCTGAAAGAGAGAGATTATTGATAGGGAACTTGAACTTAAATTTCGGATCCATCATCCATTAGCTACATGACCTTGGATAGGTGACTTAATTGCTCTTTTGTTTTATCTACCACCTATTTGCTCTCTCTACTCCAGCCAGATGATGAAATTACTTGACCAAAACTGAGATTTATTCCTGAAGCAGATTCTTTATCTCTTCCAGATCTTTTATTATACCCTAGCTAACCATCTCATTATGCACATTGCTTTGATGAGGAAAAGGATGTCAAAGAGCAAACTCCTTTCTTTGTCAGTGTATTTATTAAACATACACTATATCTTTCTTACATTCTTAGTTCTATCTATCAATATTGCTATAACAATAATATGAAGTTTTAAAAATTATGTAATGATCTGCTTAGAATATGAATCAAACTATTTCTGCAAAGCGCTGTGTGAACCTATCCCTAAGAGACATCTGTATTGAATCAAGAACTCCCTGGAGCTATCAATATTTTTTTGTTTTGTTTCAGTAGTTTTTTGTTTGTCTTTTTTCCTCCTTCTCATAATCTTTACTTGGGAAAAATTACATTGAATTCACAATCAGGCTTATTCTACTCTTCCCAAAACAATAGTGGAAATGAAATAATATGTATAGCAGCATATTGTCAATTCACAGTTACAGTAATGCTTATGAATGTGGCATTTAGATTCCTGACAGATGTTTGCCTGTGTAATTGTTTAGAATTATATTTTCAATTGCTTTTTTTGTGATGTCTCTTAACAGGAAGCATGGATCTAAAAATTTAGCTTTGAATAGTTTTTCTACTAAAAACCTGTAAGAAACTAATAATGTCATTGTTATTTCTATTATTACCAAGTATATGTGGTTCTGATATTAGACATCTGCAAGAGATTCAATAACTCTTTATTACCCTCTGAAGATGAGTTATTTGCACTCTTCTTCTACCAACCTCCACTTGATATAGAATTTTTTCTTCTTTCTTCAATGAATTTCATGTTCAAACTGTATTATTTACTTCCACGTTGTTGTTTATCACTTATGTAAATAATTTTTACTGTTCAATTGTTAATTTTTTCTTTAACTGGGAAGAAGTATTTGAGTTGGAATACACTGCATCATATTTTCCCATTAAAATTACTAAATATGTGTGTGACACAATTTTCAGGAAGAAATTAAAATTGTTAACTAAAAATTGAGTATACATTTGTCACTGAAAGAACCAGAAGTCAGGATAAATTCTGTTGTCTATAAATGTAACTTCCTTGTTAAATATCATGAATGAGTCTTTACATTAAACATCATTAGTTATTAAATTCTATAAATAGCACACTGCATATATGTCATTACAAACCATACACTGAAAAGACATTTATATATTTTTTGCTATAAATTTTAAATATTATTTATCATGTAAATGATATAGGAATCTTAACACAGTTTTAAACATCTATGATTTAAAAGTGCCAAAATTTGATATAAAAGGTCTAAATTTTAAGTCTTAAAATATGAAACAGAAGACTACGTCATCTGAAATTATAATTGTTTATTATTCCATTGGGGGGTTGATTTCTTCAACACTTATTTAATTGTAGGACATTTGTCATGAATAATGGATGGATTAATATGACATTTAATTAATAGTTTCATTTATTTGAATATAATCAATATATAGTATGGCCTAATATATTAAAGAAATTATTTGTGAAATTATGTATAAAAACACATCAAACATTAATTTCCAGAGTCAAGAGTGCATAGATTCTTAAAAAATAAATAAAATAAAAATAAAACATAGCTTCTGGTCTTGCATTTTAAATTTTTTTTAATCCAACAACTGATTTTTTTATGTCTATGAAGGAGTAAAATTCAAAATGATTCATTGCATTATTTACCTGAAGCTTACTTTTTCCTCTATCCCACTGTTTACAATAATGATTCCTTCTACAAAATCTTCTTTAGGATATATATTCTCAGGTGGAACAAAATGGCTTATATAACCCTCCAGTGATGATCCACCACCCCTGCCCCACTAAAATCACCAAATTGGACAACTACTAGCACAAGAAAATACCCTCTTAAGAAATCGGGTCTGCAATCACAGTACCTGACTTTGACATCATAGCAAGCAAAGAGGCACTGAAGAGCATTGGAAAAATAGGCTTGAATTTCCTCCACTGTCCCTCCCCTCTCTCCCAGCAGTGCCACGTGGCATGGAGAGAGAATCTGTGTGCTTAAGCGAAAGAAGGAGCGGTGATGTGCAACTTTGCATTGGAATTTAGTGCTTCCCTGTCACAATGGAAAGCAACACAGAACAGAAATTCAGTTGGTGTCACAGAGATAACAATCAGAACAGCCCTAGCCAGAGAGGAATCATCCAGCCCAGCTGTGAGAACCTAAATTCTGGCTAACCCCACCATGGGGGCCTAGAGCAATCTGGGGTTCTAAATAAACTCCAAAAGCAGTCTAGGCCACAAGAACTGTAATTCCTGGGCAAATCCTGGTGCTATGCTGGGCCCAGCACCAGTAGACTTGGGGTACAGGTGCCTGCATAAGACATCAGCTAGGGCAGCCAAGGAAGTGCTTACATCTACCCTCCCTCAACCTCAAGCAGCACAGTTTGGAGCTCCAGAAGAGACTCTTTCCACTTGAGGAAAAAAGAAGGAAATATAAGGAAGACTTTGCCTTGCAACTTTGATACTAGCTCAGCCACAGCAAAATAAAGCAAAAAAAATAGAGGCCTGAAGCCCTCATTTTAGGCCCTAGTTCCCAAATGGCATGTCTAGACCCACTCTGGACCAGAAGGAAAACTACTGCCCTGAAAGGAAAAACCCAGTCCTTGCAGGATTCATCATTTGTTTACTAATGAGCCCTTGGGCCTTGAATAAACAGAAGTGGTAGCCAGGCAGTAGTTGCTATGGGTCTCAGGCAAGACACAGTAATATACTGGCTTCAGCTGTGATGCAGTGCATTCCCAGCCGTGATGGGCACAGCGAGAAAATCCTTTTGCTTGAGAAAAGCAGAGGGAAGAGTAAAAATGACTTTGTCTTGCAACTTGCGTACCAGCTTAGCAACAGTAAAACCAAAGACCACCAGACCAGACCTCTAAAGTCTCCAACTCAAGGATTTACTTCCTGGACAGTATTTCTAGAAGCATATTGGGCCAGCTGTCCTGAAGGTGGAGACACAGGCCTGGCAGGATTCACCATCAGCTGGTTGCAGAGACCTTGGGCCTTGAATAAACATTAGCAGTAGCCAGGTGATAGTCACCAGAGACCTTGAGTGAGTCCCGGTGCTGTGCTGGCTTCAGGTCTGACCCACCACAGTCCCACTGGTGGTGCCCATAGGAGTGTTTGCATCACCCCTCTCCCAATTCCAGTCAGCTCAGGATGGAGACAGACTTCATCTGTCTAGGGAAAAGTAAAGGAAGAAAATGAAAGAATCTGTCTGGCAATCCAGGGAATTTTCCCAGATCATACCCAAGACCACCAATGTGGTTCTTCTATAATTCTTCAAGAGTCATAGCGTTACTGGTATTGGGGGAGCCACTAATGTAGACATAGGTGCAGTGACCAAAAACTTAGATTACAACACTCACTCCCCTTGGAATACCTGGAAAGCCTTCTCAAGAAGGATAAGTACAAATGAACCTAGACTGTGAAGACTGCAATAAATACCTAAATCTTTTTTTTTTTTTTTGACAGAGTTGCACTCTTGTTACCCAGGCTGGAGTGCAATAGTGCGATCTTGGCTCACCACAACCTCCGCCTCCCGGGTTCAAGCAATTCTCCTGCCTCAGCCTCCCAAGAGGCTGGGATTACAGGCATGTGCCACCATGCCCAGCTAATTTTGTATTTTTAGTAGAGATGGGGTTTCTCCATGTTGGTCAGGCTGGTCTCGAATTCCCGACCTCAGGTGATCTGCCTGCCTCAGCTTCCCAAAGTGCTGGGAATACAGGCGTGAGCCACTGCAACCAGACTAAATACCTAATTCTTTAATTCCCAAGTGTCAATGAACATCCACAAGTAGCAAGACCACCCAGGAAAACATAACCTCACCAGATGAACTAAATAAGGCACCAGTGAACAATCCCAGAATGACAGAGATACATGACTTTTCAGAGAGAATTCAAAATCTCTGTTTGAGGAATCTCAGTGAAATCAAAGATAAAATATAGAAGAAATTCAGAATTTTATCAGATAAATTTAACAAGACATTGATATAATGTCTAAAAATCAAGCAGAAATTTTGGTGTTGAAAAATTCAACTGACATACAAAAAAGTGTATCAGAATCTCTCAACAACAGAATTAATCAAGAAAAAAGAATGGTGAGCTTGAAGACAAGCTATTTGAAAGCACACAGTCAGAGGAGACAAAAAAAGAATAAAAACAATAAAGCATGACTACATGATCTAGACAATAAGTCTCAAAGGGGCAAATCTCAGCATTATTGGCTTTAAAGAGGAGGTAGAGAGAGAGAGAGATTGGGATAGAAAGTTTAAAGAAATAACAACACAGAACATGACAAAGCTAGAGAAAGCTGTTAATAATAATAGAAGACCAAGCAGATTTAACTCAAAGAAGACTACCTGAAGACATTTAATAAGAAAATTCCCAAAGGTCAAGGATAAAGGAAAAGATTCTGAAAGCAACAAGAGAAAAGAAAAAATAAAATAACGTATAAAGGAGCTTCATATGTGTAACAGCAGATTTCTCAATGCAAACCTGACAGGCCAGGAGAGAGTGGCATGAAATATTTAAAGGGTTGAAGGAAAAACAAAACAAAACAACTTTTATCCTAGAATAGTACATCCAACAAAATAAAGGGTTTCCCAGAAAAACAAAAGGTGAGGGATATCATCAACACAAGATTTGTTCTACAAGAAATGCTACCAGAAGTTCTTTAATCTGAAAGAAGAGGGTGTTAATGAGCAATAGGAAATAATCTCAAAGCACAAAAGCCACTGGTACATAGACAATTAGTGAATACTATAACATTGTATTTGTGGTGTATAAATGACTCATATATTGAGTAAGAACACTAAAAGATTAACCTATGAAAAAATAACTATAGGCTGGGTGAGGCGGCTCATACCTGTACATCTTAGCACTTTGGGAGGCAAAGGTGGGCAGATCATTTGAGGTCAGGGGTTCGAGACCAGCCTGGCCAACATGGTAAAACCCCATCTTTACTAAAAATACAAAAAAATTAGCCAGGTGTGGTGGCACATGCCTGTATTTCCAGCTACTTTGGAGGCTGACGCAAGAGAATCATTTGAATTCGGGGAGCAGAAGTTGCCGTGAGCCGAGATCGCAGCACCACACTCCAGCCTGGGTGACAGAGTGAGACTCCATCTCAAAAAATAAAAAAATAAATAACTACAAAAACTGTTTATGATAAAGACAGTATAACAAGATATAAAAATAAACAACAAAAGGTTAAAAAAACCAGGGAGATAAAGTTCAAGTGTAGAGTTTTTATTAGTTTTCTCTTGCTAGTTTGTTAGTTTGTTCATATAATCACAGTTTAGCTGTAATCAGCTTAAAATAATGGGTTACGAGATGCTATTTGCGAGACTCATGGTAACCTCCAATCCAAAACCCTATGACAGATACACAAAATACAAACAGCAAAAAATAAAAATATACTGCCAGAGAAAATTACTTTCGTAAAAAAGAAGGCAGGAAAGAAGAAAAAACACAAAACAACCAGAAAGCAAGAATAAAATGCTTTATACATGTGTAAAGAACACTAAATGCACAAAATACTTTCTTTTCTTTTAATTTTACTTCTCCCTCTTACTGCTTTGTAATCATGTTTGCTCATTTCAATTCATTTATTTATTTAGAGGTTTTTTTGGTAATAAGTTTTGCAGCATATTGTTTATTATGTCATTAACAATTATAAAATTATACTAACATTTCTAAAAATGGGTTTTTCATTTTTTGATCTTTATTGATTTCTCAATCACTTTTAACACTTATAGCAAATTACCCTTCTTCTCTCAAATTGGTTTATTATATATAATAAAATCTCCTTTTTCTATAGCTCAGACCATCCCTGGTCAGTATTATTGGAGTCACAAGCACAGCAGTGGAAACTGAAAAATCTAAAATGTTTTAACAAAATGTAATACAGTTCAGCTTACAAATTATGAAAAAAAAGTATAAAAATTCCATGTAATTCTTGATATACTCAGGTCAGTCTTAACTTTGTAACTCCCTAAGATTGTCTGAAGAATGTAAATACCTTACTAGTGGCATTAAAAGTGACTGCTTTTGATTTGCATTTCTCTAATGGCCAGTGATGATGAGCATTTTTTCATGTGTCTGTTGGCTGCATAAATGTCTTCTTTTGAGAAGTGTCTGTTCATATCCTTTGCCCACTTTTTGATGGGGTTGTTTGATTTTTTCTTGTAAATTTGTTAAGTTCTTTGTGGATTCTGGATATTAGCCCTTTGCCAGATGGGTAGATTGTAAAAATTTCCTCCCATTCTGTAGGTTGCCTGTTCACTCTGATGGTAGTTTCTTTTGCTGTGCAGAAGCTCTTTAGATTAATTAGATCCCATTTGTCAGTTTTGGCTTTTGTTGCCATTGCTTTTGGTGTTTCAGTCATGAAGTCCTTGCCCATGCCTATGGCCTGAATGGTATTGCCCAACCACAATGAGATACCATCTCACACCAGTTAGAATGGCAATCATTAAAAAGTTAGGAAAAAACAAGTGCTGGAGAGGATGTGGAGAAATAGGAATGCTTTCACACTGTTGGTGGGACTGTAAACTAGTCCAGCCATTGTGGAAGACAGTGTGGCGATTCCTCAAGGATCTAGAACTAGAAATACCATTTGACCCAGCCATCCCATTACTGGGCATATACCCAAAGGATTGTAAATCATGCTGCTATAAAGACACATGCACATGTATGTTTATTGCGGCACTATTCACAATAGCAAAGTCTTGGAACCAACCCAAATGTCCGTCAATGATAGACTGGATTAAGAAAATGTGGCACCTATACACCATAGAATACTATACAGCCATAAAAAAGGATGAGTTCATGGTCTTTGTAGGGACATGGATGAAGCTGGAAACTTCATTCTGAGCAAACTATCGCAAGGACAGAAAACCAAACACCGCATGTTGTCACTCATAGGTGGGAATTGAACAATGAGAACACTTGGATACAGGATGGGGAACATCACATACCAGGGCCTGTCATGGGTTGTGGGGAGGGATAGCATTAGGAGATATACCTAATGTAAACGACGAGTTAACAGGTGCAGCACACCAACATGGCACATGTATACATATGTAACAAACCTACATGTTGTGCACATGTACCATAGAACTTAAAGTATAATAATAATAAAAAAAGTCTGTATTAGTCAACAACAACAAAAAAATGACTGCTTTAAATTTGAAAAAAGCAAAAGAACCACCATATAAGAGTTCCAAACTAGATTTTTAATTTTTTTATTTGTATTTCTGCTTGGCTGATATAATGGCACTTATCACTGTGTGACTTATGAAATCAATTACTGGGTAAGAGATTGAAATCTGGGAAATAAGTTCTAGAAAATACTTTAAAATATTCCACACTCTAGGTTTAGGTCTTTGGGTAACATTTCAGCGTGTGACTCATAGAAACTGTAACTTAACTATACTACACGTATGGAACTTGTAATCTTGTTCTTTGTATACTATGTGGTAAATTTCTTTCTGTGGTAGCAAGTAGTAAACTTTATTTCTTAAGAATATATTAAAAGGAATTGGAATTTTATTTCTCTATAGCTAAATAGTTAAACTGAACCAAGCTAAAAATGTTGAAGAGCTTTAGTCAAGATAACATATTTCAAATCTGGGACTTACTTTCCCTGATCACAGTTAAACAATGATGGTTTTATAGGAAATACAAACAATCTCAGCACACACCTGTTTCTTTGGGGTTTCTTTTTCATTATTATTTTAAACAACAGTGGTAGGAAACACATTTCAGAAATAAAATGTGTCTTAAATTTATTATTCCCTCTTTATTCTGATTATAGACACTGTTTAAAATATGGAAATAAAAATTCAAAGGCTGTGGTGTTCATTAATGCATTTTATTTTATAATAATAACTTATTTTAAAAACACTAAAGATTAAATCTAAATACATGAAGCAAATTAATATCATCCTAACATACCATTACCATTTTCTAAACTCAGTTGACATAACTTGTCACTCTATTTAAATATACTCAAAACATTATTGGTAATATTTTATAAATAATATTTGTGTTAATATATGTTAAAATTTGATTAAATGCAGGTTTCACGTGGTCAAGTCAGTTACAATGATTGTAATAACTTTAGTTGTGATACATAAAAGAGATTTGTTTAATTCATTATAAACATAAATATTTCATTAACAGAATAAAACTTACTGGCCAAAATTTTTAAAAATTATCAAATAAATGGTAAAATCAAGTAAGAACAACTGAAAAATACCTCTTTAGTTTGTGATACATTTACATATTTAAGATTTGTTTTATGCCTTCTGTCAAAAAGCTTTTGAGGTAATATAATTTTAAAGCATTCATACACACTATAACTTAAAGAATCAATTTTTTAAAATGGAGAAATAATATAAAATACATAATAGCTTAACTATATTATTTAAATACTTAATATAATTAGAGTAATTTGATAACAAATGAGATAATGTACCCAAATCTATCCCTGTGGGCTTAGTTACAATGATATGTGTAAGTGAATTCATAGCATTTCCAAACCTCTTTTTATAAGAAATATAATTTTCTGATATAAATTCTACACTGCCCATTCTGCTTATTTTCAATTACTGGGTATATTCAAAGTTCAGTGATTAGAAGAATGAAATTGAATAAACTTACAGACTCTACACTTTGAAAGATCATTCAGCCGGGCATAGAGTACCTGACGTATACGTGTTGAATTTATAACCATACATCAACAGAAAGAGGACAGACCTGTTTTTACCATAAAAGAACTGCCTTCTACAGTGTTCTATCCATGTAGGGGACCTGGCAAGGGTAGCAAACAGATGGTTACAGCATAGCTTGAAGAACCACAAACATCTGGACACCAATGGCATCAATGCCAGACAACTTATGGTCACAAATTAAAAATAAGAAAAAAAATCCTTAGGCTCTTTTAGCAACTTGAGGGGTAGCCTGAATCTCTGCTTTTGGAGAAGATGATTTGTACTGGGAACAAAAGAAATGCCTATGAAGAGAATGAGAAGAGAAGCCACAGAGTGCCAGAAAATATTTGCGATAAACAGATCTAATAAAGGACTGTTATCCAAAATACACAAAGAACTCTTAAAACTCAATTTAAAAAAATAATTGAAAAGTAGGCAAAAGACCTGAACAGACACCTCACTAAAGAAGATGTAGCACTTTGGGAGGCCGAGGCGGGCAGATCATCAGGTCAGGAGTTGGAGACCGGCCTGACCAACAGGGTGAAACCCCATCTCTAGTAAAAATACAAAAGAAAATTAGCCGGGCGTGGTGGCATGCACCTGTAATCCCAGCTACTCAGGAGGCTGAGGCAGGAGAATCGCTTGAACCCAGTAGGCAGAGGTTGCACTGAGCCGAGAGTGGTTCCACTGTACTCTAGGCTGGGCAACAGAGCCAGACTTTGTCTCAAAAAAAAAAAAAAAAAGAAGATATAAAGATATAAAATAAGCATATATATAGATGCCCAACATCACAAGTCATTAAGAAACTGCATATTAAAACAAGAAGATACCATTATCTACCTACTAGAATGGTCCAAATCCAAAAGACCAACACCAAATGCTTGTTAGAATATAGGGCAACAAGAATTCTCATTCATTGCTGATGGGAATACAAATGTTACAGCCACTTTGGAAGACCATTTGCTTGTTTAAAAAAAAAAAAAAAAACTAAATGTATTATTGCCATAGAATCTAGTAGTCACTTTCCTTAGTATTTACCCAAAAGAGTTGAAAACTTATATTCCCTAAACACCTGAATGTGTATGTTTATAGAAGTTTTATTCATAGTTACCGAAACTTTGGAGCAGCCACGATATCCTTTATTAGGTGAATGGATAAATAAACTGTGGTATACCCAGACAATAGAATATTAGTCAGTGCTAAATATAAGTGAGCTATCAAGCCATGAAAAACATGGCGGAAACTTAAATGCTTATTACTAAATGAAAGACACCAATCTGGAAAATCATGTACTGTATGATTCCAAGTATATGACATTCTGGAGAAGGCAAAACCACAGAGAAGATCAACGATGAGTAGCTGCTATGGTTTCATGCATAAGGGAAGGATGAATAGAGAGAGCAGGGAGAACTTTTAGGGCAGTGAAGCTATTCTGTATGACACTACAATAGTGGATACATGCCATGCTACGTTAGTCAAAACCCACAGAAAGTACAACATCAAGCATCTACTCTAATGTAAACCATTTACTTTGGGTGATAATAATGCGGCAATGTAGGTTCATTGATTATAGCAAATGTACCACTCTGATGTGGGATGTTTATAGTGGGAGAGGCTGTACATATGTAGGGGCAAGGGTACAGGGGAACTCTGTACTGTGCACTCAATTTTGCTGTGAAAAGAGTAAAGGCTGTCAAAGAGAGAAAGAACCTTTCTTTTAGAGAGAAAGGCCAACCTATAAAACTCAGAAAAAAATAAACCCAAGATAGACATACAGAGCCAGTAATGATAAAATTTTTGTATCTGTGGTTCAAAGTCAGGTTAGATATAGACATGTTCCCATTGGCACAGGAAATATTGTTTATTCAAATCTAATCATGAGACCCCCTAGACTGTTTTAAACTTTTTAGATTATGACCTACCATAAGAAATACATTTTACACAAAGGATCCAATATACACAAACACACACACACGTACATGCACATGCAATTTAAAGAAATTCAACACTTAATGCATGTGATGTACTCTATATTTTCTTTTATTCAATATTATTTAAAAATTTGCTGAATATAATTTAGTTAATTGATTTTTTTATAACTCTAGTTTACAAAATGTTGCCCGGAATCCAGTCTAGTGCTCATATTAGAGATTGTTTTATCGTCAGTTACACAAATAATTACTGCTCCTTGGTATTCTGCAGACACCAGAATGAATAAGGGAAACTTAATTGAGAATCTTCTGTCAGCATGAGCCTTAGTGGAGTGAATTCAGTTGAAGCACTAAGGGAGGTCTTGTGGTTGAATTCGTACATTAAAAACAGGACTTTGTGAATATACCATCTTCCTCCTCTGGCAAGAAGCATGGCTGACAGCTATTGAATACTAACTTTGAAGTACTTGTTTTCTAATAATTGATTTGATTAACCAGAAGAGACCCTAATTCAGCAAAGGAAAGCCAAACAGCATCCTCTGGATTGTCAGAAAATAATCCCACCCTACACACAGAAAAAGAGAAACCTAAGAAATGGGATAGGCTATGACTGTGTGAGAAAAGGAGGGGGCAAGAGATACAAGAGTCTGTACAAGGTGGATTGGGAAAACGTTATTTTCAGAGAAAGAGAATTTTGACGAGAGTCTATCCTGTTTATGAGAGGAGTTAAGAGTAAGAAAAATAGACAAAGAGAAATTGTATAAAGTATTGTTCCGCATTTGAAAAAACAACTATTAGTATTTTCATGAGAAATTAAATTAAATATTTAAATGCTTTCAATCATATTTTGGTTACCAAACTGTTATGTTGTTTCTGTTGCTGTTACATTGTTGGTTCTGTTGCTGTTGTTATCATTATTGTTATTTTTAAGATAACTACATGACACAATGAGTCCCAAACAAAAATTGCAATTGTTAAACTCTAAGAGTTAATTTTTCCAATGCAGTGTAATAACTGGGATTATCCTTTAACTCTTCTCTGGGTTCCAAATCACATTTTGAAGTTGCTTGATAAGGGAAGGATTTAGAATATTGGTAAGCCTAAATATAGTATGTGTATATATTCAAGGAAGCAAAATACACTTATTATAAATACATTTTTAAACATGAGTTATTTTATATTTTTTCTTTTTAGATATGCAAATCAGACTACTAAAAACAGTATATGGTGGTAAGTGAGTTATATTGAAATCTCCGAAGTGCTCCCTTTGTTGGCTGTTTTAAGTCTAACAATGCCAGTTATAATTCAGTCTAAGAACTATTCAGTGACTCTTGGAAAAGATTAAGGCTCAAATCTTAAAGCAACTAAGCAGACATTCATGATGGTTTAAATATACTTACTCTAAGCCAGGCGCAGTTACTCACGCCTGTAATCTTAGCACTTTGGGAGGCCAAGGTGGGCAGATCATGAGGTCAGGGGATCGAAACCATCCTGGCTAACATGGTGAAACCCCGTCTCTACTAAAAATACAAAAACAAAATTAGCTGTGAGTGGTGGCGGACGCCTGTAGTCTCATTTACTCGGGAGGCTGAGGCGGGAGAATGGCATGAACCCAGGAGGTGGAGCTTGCAGCGAGCCAAGATCACGCCACTGCACTCCAGGGCTGGCCCCTAAAAAAAAAATACATACATATATATATATATATATATATATATATGTGTGTGTGTGTGTATATATTACACATATGTATATACGTATATACACATATATAATATATGACATATATTATATATCATATATAAATGTATATGTATTTTTTGTGTATATATACATATATATATTTATTCCAATTTAACAAAGTTTTCTTTGTAATCTTTTAGAAGTTGATGGCATTATTACACATATTTTACTATCAGTTTCATCTAAAAGTAGACAAGGCAGAATATGGAGATTACTATTCCTTGTAGATTATATTTGACATGATGTATCATAATTTTTTGAATACCTACTTTTATGTATCTGTGAGGTGAATTGAAAATCTTTATCTTGTCTTTTTAATCTTATTTATAACACTATTGAATCCAGAAATTGCAGGCACTAAATTCAATGTGATTCCTCATCTGTCTTTCAATTAAAAAATAACAACCAAAACAAAAACCAATGTCTGTTTTAAAAAAAAGAAGCTTCCCCTCCGTGGACTATCATTGCAGTGAGATCCTTGGCAGGCACAGAGCCAGCCAGCTCCACCCCCACCAGTGCCCATTCTGGTGCCAACAATGGTACAAGAAAGAAACTAGTCTCAGAGAACAGCAGACCATCTCCCACCCTGAGCTACCAGCCCTACTTACAGCACACATAGAACACACACAGACCTGCACCCACCAGCACCCTGCCCCCATGCTAACACCACCACCGGCGTGACCACATGCACAGTTGCCAGCAGGGCCCATATCTTCTCCCCTTCCACCCCTAGCCATGCTGCCTCCACCACTGTGGTGAATTCTCGCATGGAGGCAGGCACCCTGACACCTGCTAGTGCCCCGCTGCAGCTGACAAGTGTGCACCCTGCAGCACTGCCACTGCCGCTGCTGCCGGGATGTTCAAACGAGGACAGACCCTTCCACTGCACTATGAAATGCTTGGCTAACTCCACCTATTAGAGTGTAGTGACCAGTGGTCTGGTAGCACCTTGCCCTCTTCCCCGCAGTGCCTTGGATTCCTAAGCTCAAATAGCCAGAGAAAGAAGTCACGGAGTAATAGAAGTCCACCAGAGGAAGAGCATGCAGTCCAAAAGTTGGGAGCTGAGTGCTGGCCCCCTAAAATCTTCTGGAAATGAAGCCAGCTGGCTAAATTCACCTTATACTACAATCACACCCTCAAGGTCATCAAATAAGATAAAAGGAAAAACAAAATCATCTAAAGGTCAGGAACTTTAAAGATTGAAGAAGCATCGGCCCACAAATGAGAATGAACCAATGCAAGAACTCTGACTACTCAAAAAGTTAGAGTGTCTTCTTTCCTCCAAATGACCATGCCACCTCTGCATCATGGGTTCTGAATCAGGCTGCGATGGCTGAAATGACAGAAATAAAATTTGGAATATGGATAGGAACAAAGATCATTGAGGAGTATGTTGAAATCCAAACCAAGGAAGCCTAAGAATCACAATGAAACAATGCGGGAGCTGATAGACAAAACAGCCAGCATAGAAAAGAGTATAACTAACCTGTTAGAGCTGAAACACTACAATAATTTCATAATACCATCACAAGGATCAATAGTGGAATAGACCAAGCTCAGGAAAGAGTCTCAGAACTTGAAGACTAGCTTTCTAAAATAAAACAGTGAGATAAAATTAGGAAAAAGTTCAATGAAAAGCAAAAAATAAAATCTCTAAGAAATGTGGGTTTATGTAAAGAGACGAAATCTACAACTCGTTTGTGTCCCTGAAAGAGAGGAAGAGGTTGTCAGTAACTTGGAAACATATTTCAGGATATCATCCATAAAAATTTCCCCAATGTAGCTAGAGAGGCCAACATTCAAATTCAGGAAATGCAGAGAACCCCAGTAAGATACTTTACAAGAAAAGACAATCATCCTCAAGACACATAATCATCAGATTCTCCAAGGTCAAAATGAAATAAAAAATGTTAAAGCAGCTATAGAGAAAGGCCATATCACCTACAAAAGGAAGTCTATCAGACTAACAGTGGACCTCTCAACAGAAACCCTACAAGCCAGAAGAGATTGGGGGCCAATATTCAACATTTTTAAATAAAAGAAATTCCAACCAGAATTTCATATCTAGCCAAACTAAGCTTCATAAGTGAAGGATAAATAAGGTCCTTTTCAGACATGCAAATACTGAGGGAAATCATTACCAGCAGACCTGTCTTACAAGAGCTCCTGAAGGAAGCACTAAATATACAATAGAAAGAAAAGACTGTTACCAGCCACTACAAAAACACACTGAAGTACACAGACTGTTGCACTATAATGCAACCACACAAACAAGTCTGCAAAATAACCAGTTAGCATCATAATGACAAGATCAAATCCATACATATCAAAACTAACCTTGAATGTAAATGAGCTAAATGTCCCAATTGAAAGGCATAGAATGGCAAGCTAGATAAAGAACCATGACCCATTGGTATGCTCTCTTCAAGGCACCTATCTCATGCAATGGCACAAATGGGCTAAAAATAAAGGGATGAGGAAATATCTACTAAGCAAAGGAAAACAGAAAAAAGCAAGGGTTGCAATTCTAATTTCAGACAAAACAGACTTTAAACCAACAAAGATGAAAAAAGACAAAGAAGGACATTATATAATGGTGATGGTTTCAATTCAACAAGAAGACCTATCTATCCTAAATATTTACACACCCAACACAGGAGCACCCAGATTCATGAAGCAAGTTCTTCTAGATCTTTAAGAAGACTTAGACTCCCAAACAATAATAGT
Source organism: Homo sapiens (assembly GCF_000001405.40). Lineage (NCBI taxonomy): Eukaryota > Metazoa > Chordata > Mammalia > Primates > Hominidae > Homo > Homo sapiens. The sequence continues at coordinate 165,416,972 of NC_000003.12, forward strand.
GGGAGATTTTAACACCCCACTGACAATATTAGACAGATCATCAAGGCAGAAAATTAACAAAGACATGCAGGACCTGAACTCAGGACTGGATCAAATGGACCTGACAGACAACTATAGAACTCCCCACCCAAAAGCAACAGAATATACATTCTTCTCACTGCCACATGGCACATTTTCTGACATTCACCACATAATTGGACACAAAGCACTCCTTAGCAAATGCAAACCAACTGAAATAATAACAACTACTCTCTTGGACCATAGTGTAATGAAATGAAGTTAGAAATCAAGACTAAGACGTTCACTCAAAACTGTACAATTACATGGAAATTGAATAACCTTCTCTTGAATGACTTTTGGGTAAATAATGAAATTAAAGCAGAACGTAAGAAGTTCTTTGAAACTAATTAGGACAAAGATACAACATACCATAATATCTGGGACACAGCTAAGGCTGCATTAAGAGGAAATTTATGGCACTAAATGCTCATAACATAGTTTGAGTGTGTCCCTACCCAAATCTCATCTTGAATTGTAGTGCCCGCTATTTCCATATGTTGTGGGAGGGACCTGGTAGGAGGTAATTCAATCACAGGGACAGGTCTTTCTTGGGCTGTTCTCATGATAGTGAATAAGTCTCATGGGATTTGATGGTTTTATAAAGGGGAGTTTCCCTGCACAAATACTCTCTCTTGTCTGCTGCCATGTAAGGTGTGCCTTTTGCCTTCCACCATGATTGTGAGGCCTCCCCAGCCATGTGGAACTGTGAGTCCATTAAACCTGTTTTTATTTATAAATTACCCAGTCTTGGGTAGTATGTCTTTATCAGCAGCATTAGAACATACTATTACAGCCCACATCATAAAGTTAGAAAGGTCTCAATTTAACAACCAAACATCACCACTAAAAGTACTGGAGAACCAAGAGCAAAACAACGCCAAAGTTAGCAGAAGACAAGAAATAACCAAAATCGTAGTTGAAGTGAAGGAAATTGAGACACAAAAAACTATACAGAAGATCAACAAATGCAAGTGTTTTTTTAAAAAAAATGTTAATGAAATAGATATATTGCTAGCTGGACTAATAAAGAAAAGAAAGAAAATCCAAGTAAATACAATTAGAAACAACAAAGGAGATATTACCACTGATCCTACAGAAATACAAATTACTATCAGAAAATATTATGAACACTCTATTAACATAAGCTAGAAAACTAGAAGAAATGGATGAATTTCTAGACACACACTCTCTCAAGACTGAGCCAGAGAGAAATTCAATTCCTGAACAGATCAATAACGAGCTCCAAAATTGAATCTGTAATAAATAGCCTACCAACTGAAGAAAGTCCAGAACCAGACAGGTTTACAGCCAAATTCTACCAGGTGTACAAAGAGAGCTCATACATCTCTACTAAAACTATTCCAAAAAATGGAGAAGGGCAAACTCCTCCTTAACTCATTCTGAGGCACACATCATCCTGATACCAACATCTGACAGAGATGCAACAAAAAAAGAAAACTTATTCCAATATTCTTGATAAACATAAATGCAAAAATCCTCAAAAAAATACTGGCAAACAGAATTCAGCAGCACATCAAAAAGCTTATCCACCACAATTAAGTAATCTTTATCCCTGGGATACAAGGTTGGTTCAATGTACACAAATCAATAAATGTGATTCATCACATACAGAACTAAAGACAAAACCACATGATTATCTCAAATGATGCAAAAAATCCCTTTGATAAAATTCAATACTTCTTCATGTTAAAAACTCTCAATAACTAGCTATTGAAGGAACACACTTCAAAATAATAAGAGCCATGTATGACAAACCCACAGGCAACATCGTACTGAATTGGCAAAAACTAGAAGCATTCCCCTTGAAAACCAGCACAAGACCAGCACAAGAGAGCACAGGACCTCTCACCACTCCTCTTCAACATACTAGTGGAAATCTTGGCCAGAGTAATCAGGTAAGAAAAAGAAATAAAAGTATCCAAATAGGAAGAGAGAAAGTCAAACTTTCCCTGTTTGTAGACATCATCTTATATCTAGACAACTCCATAGTCTCAGCCCAAACATTCCTTAAGCTGATAAAGAACTTCAGCAAAATGTCAGGATACAAAATCAATATGCAAAAATCACTAACAGTCCTATACACCAACAACATCAAGCTGACAGCCAAATCAAAAATGCACTCCCATTCACAATGGTCACAAAAAGAATACAGTATCTAGGAATACAGGTAACCAAGGAGGTGAAAGATCTCTATAACTAGCACTACAAGACACTGCTCAAAGAAATAAGAGCTGCCACAAATAGAAAAACATTCCATGCTCATGGATAGGAAGAATCAATATTGTTAAAATGACCATACTGCCCAAAGCAGTATTTAGATTCAATGCTGTTTCTATCCATTTATCAATGACACTTTTCTGAGAACTAGAAAAAACTATTTTAAAATTGCTATGGAGCCAATGAAGAGCCCAAATAGCCAAAACAATCCTAAGCAAAAAAAAAAAAAAAGCTGAAGGCATCATACTACCCAACTTCAAACTATAGTACAGGGCTATAGTAACCAAAACAGCATAGCAGTTACAAAAATTGACCCATAGACTAATGGAACAGAATAGAGAGCCCAGAAATAATGCCATACACCTACAACTATCTGATCTTCAACAAAGTTGACAAAAACAAGCAATGGGGAAAGGACTCCCTAGTCAATAAATGGTGCTGGGATAGCTGGCTAGCCATATGCAGATAACTGAAGCTGGACCCCTTCCTTACATTATATACAAAAATTAACTCAAGATGAATTAAAGACTTAAATGTAAAAGGCAAAACTATATAAATGCTGGAAAACACCTAGGAAATACCATTCTGGTCGTAGGAACAGGCAAAGATTTTATGAAGAAGATATCAAAGAAAATTGAAACAAAAGCAAAACTTGACTAATTGAATCTATTAATAATTAAGCTAAAGAGCTTCTGCAAAGCAAAAGAAGCTAACAAAAGGGAAAACAGACAGAATGGGAGAAAAATTTTGCAAACTATGCATTTGAGAAATGTCTAATATCCAACAGCTATAAAGAACTTAAATAAATTTACAAACAAAACAGAAGCAACCCCATTAAAATGTGGGCAAAGGACATTAACAGACACTTTTCAAAAGAAGACATACATGCAGCCAAGAAGCATACGAAAAATGCTCAATGTCACTGATCACTAGAGAAATGCAATTCAAAACCACAATGAGATACCATCTCACATCAGTCAGAATAGCTACTTTTAAAATGTTAAAAAATAATAGGTGCTGGCAAGGCTGCAGAGAAAAGGGAATGCTTATAAACTTTTGTTAAGAGTATAAATTAGTTAAACCATTGTGGATTTCCAGTGTGGTGATTTCTCAGCCTGTGTGGTGATTCCTCAAAGACCTGAAAACAGAACTACTATTTAACCCACAAATCCCATTATTGAGTATATACGCAAAGGAATATAAATCATTATATCATAAAGACACATACACACATATGTTCACTGCAGCACTATTCACGATAGCAGAAAAATTGAATCAACCTAAATGCCCATCAATGGCAGATAAAGAAAATGTGGTGCATATACCCCATGAAATACTATGCAGCCATAAAAAAGAATGAGATCATGTCCTTTACAGGAACATGGATGGAGATGGAGGCCATTATCCTTAGCAAACTAACCCAGGAACAGAAAACCAAATACCATATGTTCTCACTTTTAAATGGGAGCTAAATGATGGGAACACATGGAGACACAGAGAGTAACAACAGACACTGGGGCCTACCGGAGGGTGGAGGGTAGGAGGAGGGGAGGATCAGGAAAAATAACTAATGGGTACTAGGCTTAATACTTGGATGATGAAATAATCTGTACAACAAACTCCCATGGCATGAGTTTACCGATGTAACAAACCTGCATATGTACCCTCGAACTTGAAAGCTAAAAAAAGATCAAATATAGCCTTTCCTGTCATATTAAAAAATGGAAAGTCTTTTATTTATATAAATATCTGCTGACCAGAGAAAATCATGCTCTAGGGTATTAACAGTTTTATAAATACCAATGTCTAGTTCAGTTGTTTCAAACATTTGTAATACAGTTAGATTATTATGTCACAGTTTGCCTTCCTCCCTAAGATCCCCTGACCTCTTAAATGCTTTTTTAAAAATTTGCAGATGTTAAGATTCACTCCTTTTGCTGTAGAGTTCAATGGGTTTTGAGAAATACATGATGTCATATCCACCATTACAATATCATACAGAATATTTTCACTGCCCTAAAAAATTGTTTGTGTTTCACCTATCTAATCTTCCGTCCCCACAATCCCCTGGAAACCACTGATGTCTTTATTGTCTCTGTAGTTTTGTTGCTCTACAGCCTTGCTCTGCAACCTTAGCATTGTCAAATTATCGCCTTTCTAATAAGTGTGCAGTTTATTCACTCTTGTTTTAATTTGAAATTCCCTAAACACAAATGATGTTGAACATGTTTTCATGTTTATATGCCATTGGTACATCTTTGGTGAGTTGTACCACCAAACAGTTGTACCACTGTTTAAAACTTATCTCATTTTAAAAATTGCATTGCTTTCTATTTTTCAATTTTGTGTTCTTTTGTATATTTATATGTTTTTTAGGTACTTTCTCCCAGTCTGTAGCTTTTTTTTTTTCATTCTCTTGACAGTGTCATTCACAAGCAGAAGTTTTTAATTTCATTAAAGTCCAAATTATCAAATTTTACTTGTATAGATTTTGCTTTTGGTATTGTAGTTAAAACTCATCATCAAACTAAAAGTCACCTATATTTTCTTCTGGAAGTTTTATTGTCTTGCATTTTACATTTAGGTCTATGATTCTCTTCAGTGATTTGATTTCTGTCATTTCATTTTAATTCTTTCTTAGAGTTTGCATTTGTTTACATTACGTATCTGTTCTTGCATCTTGTCTACTTTTTTTGCTACAGCCCTTAGCATATTAATCATAATTATTTTAAATTCCCTGTGTCATAATTCTAAAATTTGTGTTATATCTGACGCTTGCTTTCCCTCTTCAGCCTGTGTTTTTTCTTGCCTTTTCTCACATCTTGTAGTAACGTATTGAAACCAGACATGATGCACTGAGTAACAGGAATGAAGATAAATAGGCCTTTACTGCAAAGTTTTATGTTAATCTGGCTAATAGTTGGAGTACATTTAATGTTTGTTGTTATTGCAGGTACCAGAAACTTTAAATTTCCCTAGCACCTTTGCTTTTGTTCCCCCGTTGTCTTTGTGTTTCCTATAGAACTCCCTCTGAAATGGAGTCTGTGTCTTGCATGTCTTTCAGCTACAATCCACTGTTGATATGGTATAAAGGATGGGCTGAGAGGAAGCATTCTACTATCTTTTGATTTAATCTCATTCTTTTACTGAGGCTGTGTCACTGGGCTGTGACCTTCACAAGGGTTTCTTAGGTTTTTCCTCCTGTAAGGTAAGGCAGAAAGATTAGAGGGACAGGGGTTGGATAACTGCAAAAGACATAACAAGAGAAAAATAGAGGTTTATTAACATGTATATTATATATATGTGTGTGTATATATATACATTGTGTATATATATACAATATATATACATGTATATATATACATGTATATATACTGTATATATACATGTATATATATACATGTATATATACTGTATATATACATGTATATATATACACATAATATATATATACAATGTGTATATATATACATGTATATATATATACACATAATATATATATACATTGTGTATATATATACACATTGGTGACACCCAGGAATTGAGTCTTTCTCAAAAAGGTGGCTTTGAATTCCAACTTATATGGCATCTTCAACGAAGAACAATAGATTTTTACAGACGTGACAAAGTAAAAGAAAACAACGTAGAGTTTCTAAGGGCAGCAAATTGTGGCAAGGCAAATACATGGTAGATAAAAACTAGTTGATAAAGCTCATTAAATGTGTATTTTTCTGGTGCCGTCTCTTTAGACCAATAAGGATCTAAAGTTGTGTTCAGTGGTTAAGTTTTGTCCTCCCTGATAGAGAAGAAGGAAGGGATATCTTTTGTCTTTCTAAACGTATGTCCTACTTGTAGGCCAATAAAGGGAGGGCAGAAAACGTTCCTGCATCTGTGTCTTTTTAATTGCCTTTAGCTTAAAACAATACTTATGCCAAAGAGGCTTATTTTGGGGTGGCCTATTCTGGTATCCCAGAGTGGAAATGTTTTTTTACTGGACTTTGGTACCTGAGGTATTCTGGCTTTATAAGAGAAGTTGGGACAAGTTTCCTCCTTTATTTCCTGAAATAATTTGTTTAGTATTGATACTATTTTCTTGTTATATGTTTGCTAGAGTTCATCTGTAAAGTCACATGGACCTAATGTTTAATTTGGGAATGTTCTTGAATTTTCTGGAATCATTTCAAATATCTCATTATTCTTCCTCCAATATCTTTAGAATATTTCTCCTTTTCTCTGGTATTGGTAAGTCTCTCTCTCTCTCTCTCTCTCTCTCTCTCTCTCTCTGTCTCTCATTGTATTTTTGATCGATTCACCAAATTTATTAATCTACTTAAAGAACACATTTTTAATTTTTTATATTTCTCTGTTGTTTGTTTTGTATTACATTAATTTCTACTCTACTCTTACCTTTATATTTCTTCTCATGTGTTTTTATTATCATCCAGTTCAACATATAGATGCTCCTCAACTCTGGGTGGGGCTATGTCCTATAAAATGAAGTTTAGCCTAATGCTGCCTCCTTGTAAGTTGATCTAATAGTTACTTCATACGTTGTATCTAAACACTGCCCCTCTCCATATCATTTCCCCACCTTCTCTTCCCACACACAAATTCTTTCCTGTAATTGGGGTGTTTCTTTCTGGAGCATAATTAAGGAAGAAGAAATAGAGGTGTGGTCTCCAATTAACTATTATGAGTTTTAGACCTAATTTGCTAATTAGGGTAATCCAAATATTTTACATTTTACTAATTTTAAGTTTTTTTGACAATGGGGGTCACAATAGTTACATCTTACTAGTAGTAGTTTTTGATAGGGTCTGATTCTGCCAACCAGGCTGGAGTGCAGTGGCACAGTTATACCTCACTGTAGCCTTGACTTCCTGGGCTCAAATGATCCTCTCCACTGAGCTGTCAGAGTAGCTAGGGCCACAAGCATGCACCATCACTCTTGGCTGATATATATATGTAGCCCAGGCTGGTATTGAACTCCTGGCCTGAAATGATCCTCCCATTTTGGACTCTCAAAGTGTTGGGATTACAATCGTGAGCCATACAGTTGGCCATTTTTCTTTTTCCTTTTTATTATTATATGGTGGCTTCCTTATCATTAGATTTAGCATAGGGAAATGTTTTAATTCAATACTGCAATTAACTTAAATACATTACTTAATGTCTCTATCTCAGTTTGGTTATATTTAAATAGGGTGATTATACGGCCTTTAGTAAGGTTGAAAATTAAAAGAGCTAACAAAATGTTCAGAAAAGTTCTTGTCATGTGATAAGCACTAATATCTATTAGGGTGTCAGATGTTAGCTGTCATTCTTTTATTGTCTGAGAATTTAGGCAGATAACTCCAAGGCCAAGAATAGTAAGATAGGTGAAAACATCCCCTCATCCCAAAGTAAGGTGCCAACTCAACTATACAGGACGTGTTAGAAGTTTGGTCATTTCAGCTAGCTTTTGATCTTTACCAACCCTGAAATTATGAAAGGAAGAAAGTTGAAAAGCCCACTGGAAATTTCTTTATAGAGAGTTATCAGTGTGGCTTGGTAAATACACTTTACCCTTCTCTGCTCATTTTCTAACACTGGATGAACCTAAAATAGCAGTAATCAAGAGGAGAATAAATTAGAGCAAGAAAATAAAGATTAAAAAATCACTCCAAGTTTCCACATCAAAGATTATCTGACCTGAAATAAGTTAGAGTTGACAGAAGAAGCTTTAATTGAATGAAAGTTTGGAGGTTCATTTCAATTTAAAATTGAAATGAACATTCCACTAAGTGGCTGAAAAACTGCATAAAAAGATTCAGGAGGCAGAAGAAAAGTCCACAAATAAATATTCAGGGAGAGTAGTTCAAAAGAAAGGGTAACTTTTCTTCACTTTTCACTGGTCCATTTGTCAATAAAGTGTCTGCTTGAGGGAGACTCACCAAAGATACTCTAAGAACCCAAACCCAACGTTAAAGATGTATCCCAGGCTCATCAAGGACTCCTAGAGAGAAAAATGGAACCATGAGCTGCTAGAGTAAAATTACTACTATGAGATAGTTGCAACCTGTTGAGAGTATTTATAAGTAGCAAACAGAAGAATGAGATTTACTTAAGGATAATTTGGGTTTACAGGGATAGAAGGGAACAAACGTAACAGAATGTTAAGTATGATTTTGTTGTCTCAGAGTTTGGTCAAAGACCTCAAAAGTCAAATATGCTCATATCTTACAAAAAGATGGTTGATTACCTTTAAAGACATCTAAACTATTGTTATACTCTGGCATATCACCCACCTGCGTGGTACAATAGAGAAGAAATTGAAGAGGCTTGTAGATGCACATGATTTCTTGGAGAGAGCTGTCAGTATGCTATGTGAGTTAACTCTCCTCCCTGGCTATGTTCCCTCTCACATGTATCTCAAAAAAAAGATTCTGAGAAAGTCATTCAGAGAGTTTTATGTTCCTTGAGTTTGAGAGACTAAAAAGTCTAAAGGCAAGTAGCTGGAGCTGGCTGAATTATCTTGATAGGCAGAGCAAGCAACTGAGCCTTCACTGGTATCCTTCTACTCTTTCACATTTGCCAAGTAAAGGTGGTATACCCATTGTATAAGAAGAATGTGAGCATCTTGAGAAAACTTTCTGGATGGGGGAGGCAACCATAAAAAGGACAGTATATCTTCAGAAGACAGAAAGATAAGGAGGAAGTCTCAAGCAGCCAGCTGGAGGAGTCAGCTCCCATGAAAGAGACACATATGTAAGAGCTCCCTAGGAAATGAGGATCTTCAAAAAACCCATCAAGCAAAGTGTCCTACTGGAGAAAAAGACAGCAGCTGTGAATCTCTGGAACCGACATTCATAAGACAGACATACGATTGTACCCAGTTGTACCATTTACCACTGTTCATTACCAACTCCCCAAACATGGAAATGACCCTAAATAGCATCTAGCCAGTGGACAGTATAGAGAGCTAGAAAAAGAGAAGAAACTTATCATGCCTCCTCCCTATAGCAGGCTTTCCATTCTGAGATAGACTCAAACTTGGAAAATAGAGTAATGTAAAATCACAAGAAGTTAAAAAAAACAATTAGCTGCATGTGGTGGCATGCACCTATAGTCTTTGCTACTCAGGAAGCTGAGATAGGAGGATGGCTTGAGCCAGAAGGTTGAGACTGCAGTGAGGTATGATTGTGCCAATCCACTCCATGCAGCCTAGGTGACAGAGCAAGATCCTGTCCAAAAACAAAACAAAACAAAACAAGAAGTTTCAAAGTTTGGTTAAGATTTGGACTTGTATTACTTTTTTTTAATATACTTTAAGTTCTAGGGTACATGTGCACAACGTGCAGGTTTGTTACATATGCATACATGTGCCATGTTGGTGTGCTGCACCCATTAACTCATCATTTACATTAGGCATACCTCCTAATGCTATCCCTCCACCCTGCCCCCACCCCACGACAGGCCCCGGTGTGTGATGTTTCCCTTCCTGTGTCTAAGTGTTCTCATTGTTCAATTCCCACCTATGAGTGAGAACATATGGTGTTTGGTTTTTTGTCCTTGCAATAGTTTGCTGAGAATGATGGTTTCCAGCTTCATCCATGTCCCCACAAAGGACATGAACTCATCCTTTTTTATGGCTGCATAGTATTCCATGGTATATATGGGCCACATTTTCTTAATCCAGTATATCACTGATGGACATTTGGGTTGGTTCCAAGTTTTTGCTATTGTGAATAGTGCCACAATGAACATATGTGTGCATGTGTCTTTATAGCAGCATGATTTATAATCCTTTGGGTATATGCCCAGTAATGTGATGGCTGAGTCAAATGGTATTTCTAGTTCTAGATCCTTGAGGAATCACCACACTATCTTCCACAATGGTTAAACTAGCTTAAAGTCCCACCAACAGTGTAAGAGTGTTCCTATTTCTCCACATCCTCTCCAGCATCTGTTGTTTCCTGACTTTTTAATGATCGCCATTCTAACTGGTGTGAGATGGTATCTCCTTGTGGTTTTGATTTGCATTTCTCTGAGGGCCAGTGATGATGAGCATTTTTTCATGTGTCTTTTGGCTGCACAGATGTCTTCTTTTGAGAAGTGTCTGTTCATATCCTTTGTCCCCTTGTTGATGGGGTTGTTTGTTTTTTTCTTGTAAATTTGTTTGAGTTCATTGTAGATTCTGGATATTAGCCCTCTGTCAGATGAGTAGATTGTAAAAATTTTCTCCCATTCTTTAGGTTGCCTGTTCACTCTGATGGTAGTTTCTTTTGCTGTGCAGAAGCTTTTAGTTTGATTAGATCCCATTTGTCAATTTTGGCTTTTGTTGCCATTGCTTTTGGTGTTTTAGACATGAAGTCCTTGCCCATGCCTATGTCCTGAATGGTATTGCCTAGGTTTTCTTCTAGGGTTTTTATGGTTTTAGGTCTAACATTTAAGTATTTAATCCATCTTGAATTAATTTGTGTATAAGGTGTAAGGAAGGGGTCCAGTTTCAGCTTTCTACATATGGCTAGCCAGTTTTCCCAGCACCATTTATTAAATAGGGAATCCTTTCCCCATTTCTTGTTTTTGTCAGGTTTGTCAAAGATCAGTTGGTTGTAGATTTGTGGTATTATTTCTGAGGGCTCTGTTCTGTTCCCTTGGTCTATATCTCTGTTTTGGTACCAGTACCATGCTGTTTTGGTTACTGTAGCCTTGTATTATAGTTTGAAGTCATGTAGCATGATGCCTCCAGCTTTATTCTTTTGGCTTAGGATTGTCTTGGCAATGCGGGCTCTTTTTTGATTCCATATAAACTTTAAAGTAGTTTTTTCCAATTCTGTGAAGAAAGTCATTGGTAGCTTGATGGGGATGGCATTGAATCTATAAATTACCTTGGGCAGTATGGCCATTTTCACGATATTGATTCTTCCTACCCATGAGCACGGAATGTTCTTCCATTTGTTTGTATCCTCTTTTATTTCCTTGAGCAGTGGTTTGTAGTTCTCCTTGAAGAGGTCCTTCACATCCCTTGTGAGTTGGATTCCTAGGTATTTTATTCTCTTTGAAGCAATTGTGAATGGAAGTTCACTCATGATTTGGCTCTCTGTTTGTCTGTTATTGGTGTATAGGGATGTATTACCTAGAAAAAGAGATGATTTTTTGAAATTACCTGATAATGAAGTGAGGACATTTTATTGCCTGAAATTTTCTGAAAGAACTATGGGTTCTGCCTAGGGATTTGTCTAAAGGTAAAGAGTCAATGAGTACAAAGGGTGGGTTTGCAAGGATAGTGGATAAGAAAAAAAAAAAAAAAAGTTATTTCCTGCCTGCTCTCAAGTCCAGACATGTATAAAGAGCCCTGTATGTTATGAAATATTGCAACACTTAGGGTCTACACCCACACATAGTATAGATCTGGGGCTCTCAGTGTCCCCGGAAATTACTTTTTTGTATTTAAGAAACTTTAAGCCAAGTACCCAAGCCAGTTTTCTTGGGAGGACGGAGCTTTGTAGATGTTGATTTCACACAGAAAGTTTATGCTTGTTGTTTAATAGTAAGCTTGTCCTAGCTAAGTTCATATTTGAAAATAAATGAGGTTTATTTAATGAGAATAAATGAGGTTTATTTTCAAATATAAACTTAGGCGCACAGTCAATTTGCTCAAATGTGTCCCGTTAAAAAAGGATAGATTTTTATTCAACCTAGGCAAATAAATATATTACCATGAAAATTAATGAGACTCAGTAAAAGTATGTATTTCTGAATTCTAAGGACATAGGGAGAATCAGATACCACTTAAAAACAAATCTCTAAGCCTTTCCCCAAAGAATACAATTTCTAAATACTAATATTAATACTTTAAAAAATAAACTTAACCTAGGAAATGTGACTATTTGATTTGACACTTCTTGTGTAGCTCTTACAACGATATTGAGCTAATTAAAACATAAGGAGTCTGCCAAGCCAACCTAGTTATTGCTAGAACCCATTTCCAGTTTAATAGATAAAATCAATCTTTGTGATTTTCTTGGTGTCCTTTGGGAAGACTCAAAGATAGTTTTAGCTGTGAGAGATAATATGAAATTTTTATTTTAGTTTAGTTTTAATTTAGGATCTGATCTTAGGAAGCTAAAAGCAAGAGTTGTCAAAAAGATTTGGTCATTTAATAAAGACAGGGTCACAGGAACCTGAGAAACTATACTTGTATACCTATTTAATCAAAGTGATAAAATGTGTTAAAGTAAACATAGAAGAAAGGATTATTAGAAAGAATTCTCATCTTCCACAAAAGAGAAACCTGCCTTCTTTGTGTTTTTGTGTGTTGCTTTTGTTATCATTTAAAATAATCAAAAATGTGATAAAGCTAACACAAAGCAAGGAGAATTATTCTAGAGAGATCTGAAACGTCATGTCTTTCTAGACAAATTACACAAAAACAACTTTTTGTTACTATTCCATGTTGAAAACTCTAATACTAATTTGTTACTTTAATACAGGAAGCGTCAAATATAATTATTTCACAATTTGCAATTGCAAAAACATGGAACCAGCCTAAATGCCCATCAACCAACGAATAGATAAAGAAAATGTGGTATGTGTATATAAGTGCGTGTGTGTGTGTGTGTGTGTGTGTGTGTACGTACCATGGAATACTGCTCAGCCATAAAAAGGAAAAAAATAATGGCATTTGCAGCAACCTGGATGGAGTTGGAGACCATTAGTCTAAGTGAAGTAACTCAGGAATGGAAATCCAAATATTGAATGTTCTCACTTATAAGTGGGAGCTAAGCGATGCAGATGCCAAGGCATAAGAATATAAAATAACTTATATATACAGCATAGAAATAGATGATAATTTTTTTTAACATGGATAAGTTCTTTAGTGGTGATTTCTGAGATTTTGGTGCACCTGTCACCCAAGCGGTGTACACTGTACCCAAGGAGTAGCCTTTTATCCCTCACTTGCCTCCCACTCTTCCCTCCAAGACCCCAAAGTTTATATTATTCTTATGCCTTGGCATCCGCATAGCTTAGCTCCTACTTATAAGTGAGAACATTCAATATTTGGACTTCCATTCCTGAGTTACTTCACTTAGAATAATGGTCTCCAACTCCAACTGGGTTGCTGCAAATGCCATTATTTTGTTCCTTTTTATGGCTGAGCAGTATTCCATGGTATTTACACACACACACACACACACACACACACATTTATATATACACACCACATTTTCTTTATCTACTCGTTGGTTCATGGGCATTTAGGCTGGTTCCATCAGGAAGGAGATACATGTTTGATAATGATATTGTTCATTTATTATCATACCAATATTATTAGAAAAGAGAAAAGAAAAGGAAGTCTTTTTTAGGGTACAGCACATAACTATTTCCTAAGTGTCTGATGGATGTTTTCCTTGAGGACAAGAATATTTAATAGACAGTGAGGACATTAAAAAATCTCTAAGAGTCTTTTTCATATAATGACTTCTTTTCCTCTGGGTAGATACTCAGTAGTAGGGCTTCTGGATCAAATGGTAGTTCAACTTTTAGTTCTTTAAGGAATCTCCATATTGTTTTACTTAGTAGTTGTACTAGTTTACATTTCCACCAACAGTGTATAAGTGTTCCTTTTTCACCATATCCATGCCAACATCTATTTTTTTTTTTAATTATGGCCATTCTTTCAGGAGGAAGGTGGTATCTCATTGAGGCTTTGATTTGCATTCCCTGGATAATTACTGATGTTGAGTATTTTTTCGTATGTTTATTGACCATCTGTATATATTCTTTTGAGAACTGTCTATTCACGTCCTTTGATCACTTTTGGATGAAATTATTTGTTTTTTTTTTTCCTGCTGATTTGTTTGAGTTCCTCATAGATTCTGGATATTAAAGCTTTGTGGGATGCATATTTTGCAAATATATTTTTTTGCATTCTGTGGGTTGTGTGTTTACTCTTCTGATTATTTCTTTTGCTGTGAATAAGCTTTTTAGTTAAATTAGGTCCAATCTGTTTTTCATTGTTTTTGTTGCATTTGCTTTTGGGTTCCTGGTCATGAATTCTTTGCCTAAGCAAACATCTAGAAGACTTTCTTCAACGTTATCTTCCAGAATTTTTGGGTTTCATTTCTTAGATGTAAGTCTTTGATCCATCTTGCATTGATTTTTTTATAAGGTGAAAGATGAGGATCCAGTTTCATTCTTCTACATGTGGCTTGCCAATTATCCCAGCACCATTTGTTGAATAGGATTTCTTTTCCCCACTTTTATGTTTTTGTTTGCTTTGTCAAAGATGAGTTAGCTGTAAATATTTGGCCTTGTTTCTGGATTCTCTATTCTGTTCCATTGGTTTACATGCTTATTTTTAAACTAGCACCATGCTCTTTTGGTAACTATAGCCTTATAGTATAGTTTGAAGTTGGGTAATGTGATGCCTCCAGATTTGCTCTTTTTGTTTATCTTGCTTTGGCTATGTGGGCTCTTTTTAGGTTTTATATGAATTTTAGGATTGTTTTCTCTAGTTCTGTGAAGAATGATTATGGTATTTTGATGGGAATTGCATTGAATCTGTATATTGCTTTTGGCAGTATGGTCATTTTCATAATATTGATTCTACCCATCCATGAGCATAGGATGTGTTTCCATTTGTTGGTGTCATTGATGATTTCTTTCAGCAGTGTTTTGTAGTTTTACTTGTAGAGATCTTTCACATCATTTGTTAGATATATTCCTAAGTGTTTTTGTCTCGTTTTATTTTGATTTTTGCAGCTGTTGTAAAAGAGATTGAGTTCTTAATTTGATTCTCAGCTTGGTCATTGTTGGTGTATAGCAGTGCTACTGATTTGTGTACACTGATTTTGTATCCTGAAACTTTATAGAATTTATTCATCAGATCTAGGAGCTTTTTGAAAGAGTCTTTAGGGTTTTCTGGGTATAGGATCATATCGTTGTCAAACAGCAACAGTTTAACTCTCTCTTTACTGACTCGGGTGCCTTGTATTTCTTTGTCTTGTCTGATTGCTCTGTCTACGATTTCTGGTACTATGTTAAATAGAAGAGGTGAAAGTAGGCATCCTTGTCTTGTTACAGTTCTCATGAGGAATGCTTTCCACTTTTCTCTGTTCAGTATAATGTTGGCTGTGGGTTTGTCATAGATAGCTTTTATTACCTTAAAGTATTTCCCTTCTATGCCAATTTTGCTGAGGATTTTAACCATAAAGCAATGCTGGATTTTGTCAAATGCTTTCTCTGCATCTATTGAGAAGATCATATGGTTTTTGTTTTTAATTCTGTTTATTTGGTGTATCACATTCATTTACTTGTGTTTGTTTAACCATCTCTGTTTGTAGCTTACCTGATGCTTTGCCTCACAGCTCTTAAGATTCTTTCCTTCATCTTGACTTTAGATATTTTGATGACTGATGAATGTCTCAGGTGTTCTTTGAGCTTCTTGCATTGAGATGTTTAGATCTCTAGCAAGAACAGGGAAGTTTCCCTTGATTATTCCCTGAAATATGTTTTCCAAACTTAGATGTCTCTTCTTCCTCTGGAACAGCAATTATTCTTAGGTTTGGCCATTTAACATAATCCCAAATTTCTCTGAGGCTTTATTTGTTTTGATTACTTTTCTTTTTTCTTTTTCTGATTGGGTTTATTAAAAAGCTTTGTCTTCGAGCTCTGCAGTCCTTTCTTCTACTTGTTCTAGTCTATTGTTGAAAGTTTCCAGTGCATTTTGTATTTCTCCAAGTGTGTCTTTCCTTTCCAGAATTTGTGATTGTGTTTTCTTTATGATATTTATTTCTCTGGAGCATTTTATAATCTATATCCTGGTTTTTTTTTAAATTTATTTTCATTGCTTTTCACCTTTCTCTGGTATCTCCTTGAGTAGCTTAATAATTAACCTTCTGAATTATTTAACTGGCCATTCAGAGATTTATTCTTGATTTAGATCAATTGTTGGGGAGACGCTGTAATCTTTTTGGGTGTTATAGATCCCTGTTTTGTCATATTACCAGAATTACTTTTCTGATTTCTTCTCATTTGAGTAAACTCTTTCACGGAAGAGGTCTGGAACTCAAGATCTGCCGTTCAGATTCTTTTGTCCCAAGGAGTGACTCCTTGATGTGCTATTCTCCTCCTTCCTTAGTGATATGGTTTGGTGCTGTGTCCCTACCTAAATTTCATCTCAAATTGTAATCCCCATGTGTCAATGGAGGGACCTGGTGGGAGGTGATTGGATCATAAGGACAGTCTCCCCTATGTTGTTCTCATGATAGTTTGGGGGTTCTCATGAGATCTGATGGTTTAAAAGTGGCAGTTTCCACTGCATTCTCACTCTCTTCCACCACCATTTAAGACGTGCCTTGCTTTCCCTTCACCTTGTGCCATGGATTCCTGAGGCCTCCACAGCCATGTGGAACTGTGAGTTAGTTAAACCTCTTGTCTTCATAAATTACCCCATCCTAGTTAGTATCCTTATACCAGTATGAAAACAGACTAATAACAGAAAATTGTTACCAGGAGTGGGGCATTGCTATAAAGAAAACCTGAAAATGTGGAAGCAACTTTGGAACTGGGTAACAGGCAGAAGTTGAAACAGTTTAAGGGTTCAGAAGAAGACAGAAAAATTTAGGAACATTTGGAACTTCCTAGAGACTTGTTGAATGCTTTTGACCAAAATGCTGATGATAATGTGGACAATGAAGTCCAGCCTGAGGCGGTCTCAGATGAAGATGAGGAACTTACTGGGAAGTAGAGCAAAGGGTTAGGTGGGTCTGGGCTAAGACTCTTTTTAGGTAGGGTTTCTCATAGCCACCATGGGGGTTGAGGTGGTGGTTCTCAGGACAATGGGGTTATGTTCCGGAGGGGATTATGGCTGCCTCTGCTGTGTCAAATAGTTCACCAGAGAAGTAGGGGATAGCTGTAACAAAAAGCCTCACCCAGACCCTAGGCAGTTGGTGAGGCAGGTCTCGCTCCCACAGTGTCCCTCTCAGACCTTGCCTCAGGCTGTAAGCTTCCCCACTAAGAAAGCAAGCATGGCTTTCGGAACTTGCTCCTCTCCATCTTGCCACATTGTCATTAGTGGCTTCTGTGCTCATATCGGCAGCAGTTCCCATTCACCCCCAAGATTCTGCTGAAGATCATTAGTGCCCAGTAAAAATTATTATAATTTTCAGTTGAAAGCTTCTTTCATTCTGTGGCCCCTCCCTAAAACCACTGGTTGTCTTGCCTCAAGGCCCTGTGAGATATAGTCAGGGATGGCTTTTCTGGGCTCAAGCTGGAGACCGAGAGTGCCTAGAAGGCTCTTCCCACTGCTGCTTCTACTTTTATATTTAATGTGGCTCCCTAAATCAGTTTCAGCTCTAGATAAGGTTAAATTCTTCTCCCGTGATCTGTGTTTTCAGATTCCCCAGGGATGTCTGTTTGGAGACAGGTTTTACCCCTCTCATACTTTGGGAACTCACACTATTTTGCCTGTTTCATGGAATTTGCAGTGGTGTGCTGCTTCTTTCAAAGGATCTGTGAATTCTTTTGGTTTTCCTGGTATGTTTCTGTGATGGTTCTTGGAGCCAAAGTTCACAGTGTGAATCTCCACATACTGTTCTTTCCGTCCAAGTGGGAGCTGTATGTTAGCCCCATCTGCTATCTGCCATCTTTCTCAGATGATGATCTAGAAAAGTTTTAATGTTATCTTCTGTATCCTAAAGTTTTTCTGTGTCTCCTAATGTCACTTATTCCATTTTACATTTTTATTCTTCACATTCATTTTATTGATTTTTTCCCCAGTATCCAGTGTTCCTTGATTCTTTATTTACATTTATGGTTAAAATGTATTGACTTGTACACGGGACTTGCCATGTTTTTTATTGTGACATTAGGACCTCTCTCTTTAACAGAGCTCACTTTTGCAGAGGATGACTGACTGTATGTTCTCTATAAGTGGGTCATACATTTTTGATAATCAGGGTTTTCTATAGAATGCATGGACAGCAAATGGGAAACTAAGTTGGTGGCTCCCAGCATTTCCAAAGTTAAGGGGAAGTCTGTGAAAAAAGGACCATGAGATCCGCAGAAAGAAAAAAAAGGAGAGCTTTATCTTCTTAAAAAAAAAAGGAAGAAAATAAAACAACTGCAGATTGGGGAGATGCAACCTGTGATGTAAAAGAAGAGCAGACAGGTGGTGGGGTGTTTTGAGAGTTAGTGATTATAGAGGCAATAATAACAGGGGATGGGAGTCAGGGAAGTGAGAAACAGAAACAGAATCTTGATTGAATGACTGTGTAGCCCCAAATCACCTGTCACTCTTAACTGGTTGGTTCCAAGTGGTTGATGAGTTGGCACCAGGTAGTCTGTTGGTAGTCAGTGGGGGAATGTCCAGCTGCAGTCTATTTCAGTGCTGACAAGAGGAGCTGGTTTGGCTTGATGGTAGGAAAAAAAAAGTTCTGTGACACTTTTACAATAACTTTCTGAGAACACAGAGAATGCTCCCTGACCCAGCCATGGATACCTGATTCTATTTTAACTTTGAGCACCTCAGTTAGTCACAGAGAGTCCATTCTGCCTGAAAGGGGCATAGGTTAATGGCCCTGAATCTACCTTTACAAAATTATGACACTCAGAGAAATCTGACATAGTTCACTTAATCTTGCTTCTGATTTCCAAGCTGTTCTTGTTCTTTCCTGGGCGTAGGCCAAAGTAACTTGGAGGCAAATTTAGTTTCTGGTTTAACTTAAAAGCAAGGATGATAAGAGTCCCTCTCTAAAACTAACCTCCTCTTTGCTTAGGAACCAAAAACCACGTATGTAAGACTAACAGAAGGCCACAAGAATAGGCCTATGGGTGGGGCATGAATTCTGCTAGGATGTAGGTGCAACTTCTATAGTTTTAATGCTCAGGAGTCATATGACCAGATATCACAAGATTTGTGACTTCCCCAATTGCTCCTATAGATAACATCACTATTACAAAACCTGAGATTGGTCTTTTTTGAGATGTTTTTCAGACTCACCAATCCAGAATTGTAACTCATAACTCAATTGGTTCTATGGGCTGCAGCGGCAGACCCAGTGCAAGAGGACTATTTTCCACACCTCTAAATTTTATCCGCTACCAATCAGGAGTACCCATTCCTTAGCACCCTGTCCACCAAATTATTTATAAAATCCCTAACCTCTGAGCCTTCAGAGAGACTGATTTGAATGATAAGTTCAGTAATCCAAAATGAGCCAGCCTCACATTGATTTGACTCTTTCTCTGCTGCAATGCTGCCATCTCAGTGGACTAATTTTGTCTGTGCAGAAGGCAGGAAGAACCTATCAAGTGATGATAGCCCCTATAACAAAAGACGGATTAACAAGAGAAAAGTATACACATATATTTAATATAAGTTTTACATGAAAGGAGAGCCTTCATAAAGAAATGAAGACACCCAAAGAAACAGTTAAACCCGAGTATTTTTCATATATCTCACAGTCATGAGATATATGATAGGACAAAAGGCCTTATGTCATAAAAGGACAGATATATCTTTTCCTCCCATCTCAGGTTCATGGCTATGGTCCCTACAACAAAAGACAAATTAACAAGAGAAAAACAACATACATTGTTTTTTTTCTCTTTTTTAGATAGGATCTGGCTCTGTCACCCAGGATGGAGTGCAATGGTGTCATCTTGGCTCACTGCAACATCTGCCTCCCTGGGCTCAAGCCATCCTCTCATCTTGGCCTGCCTGGTAGCTTGAACTCCTGAGCTCAAGTAATCCACTTGCCTTGGCCTCCCAAGGTGCTGGGATTGCAGGTATCAGCCACTGTGCCCAGACTTGAAGACATACAAATTTATTAAATGTAAATTTTATGTGATATAGGAGCCTTAATAAAGAAATAAAGACCCAAAGAAACAGGTAAATGTATATTTTTATACTTAGTTTGATGAAGAGTGAACAGTCATGGAGAAATATGATTGGAAAACACAAGTGTACAATCTCATGGCAATAAACTGGGGGGAATTTAGCAAGGCCTGTTTGTTCAGATTTTTCTTTATGTTTCTGTGTCTTCAGGGATATGAACATTCTTGTTCCTTTCCTCCAGGAATAGCGAGGACATTTCTCTCATGAAGGTCTTAATAGCCTGCCAGGGGAGAAAAGTGGTAGAAGGTCAAAAACTAAACTTTCTGGGTTTTATTACTTGCTTTAGGAGAGAAGGGCAAGAGGAAGTTGAGAGTGACTTTTCTGCTTCTGCTGTTTCCTCAAATGCCAAGTTCCCATATTTTGGAGTAGTGTTTCCTAAACTTTATCAATCAAATGTTAATAACTTGGGGGAAACTCAGTGCTGAAGCTCATAAAATGATTCCCCATAATCTGGCACTTTGGCATGCTGAGCATTTCACATTGAAGGAAATTTAAAAGGCCTTAGAAACAGCCTCAGAACCAAGGGTCTTCTGATCTTCTATTTTTCTCCCCAGACACAGAGGGGAACTCTCTCTCTAAAGTTCCCTTACCTGAAGCTCCTCCTTAAGTAATATAATTGCCTTCGATCACTTCCTTGAGATTCCATTAGCCAGGAAAGATAAAACACATATCACAGAAAGGAAGACTGAGAAAAGTCACCACACCTATATAGATTTTGTCAAATGCTATTATCTATTCTTCCGTCGATTCAACTTCTAGAGAGAATTATTTACACGTTATTGTCTCTTTTTGGGCCCAATCAATTCATTGAAAATCATTTACTATCCCCTAAAAATTGCCTACATCCTCCATTTTCCTCTCCTCCATAAAGAGGGGATTTGAGCCTCATCTGGCCCTTCTTTGATTCTCGTATTTTGCATGGCTCCCATGCACATCTGTACATTAATAACGTTGTATGCCTTTTCTCCTGTTACTCTATTGTCAGTTTATTTCTGCAGACTCTAGCCTTGAGAGAGGAAGGGAAAGTTTTCCATTGTCCCTACAGCAGCAAGGACTATTCTTCAGATTCTTCCCTGTGACCTTTTGTCTCCAGATAGAAGAATGTTCCTTTTCCTCGGGTATAGGGACATCACCTCTCATATGAGTATCTTATGACTCCTTCAGGGGAAGTTCAAAAAATTCTTTCTAGGTTTTATGATCTTCAGGGGAGAAGGGGAGGGTTGGGGTGGAATAAGGTAAAAGAGACTTGCTTCTGTGGTTTTCTTGGATGTTTTCAACCCAAAATACTAAATATGCCAAGGTGCTATATGTTAATTTTTTAAATACATGATTTAAAAGCATGTTTTACAATACATTTAATTTTTTTTTTTTTTTTTTTTGGAGAAAAGGTCTTGCTTTGTCACCCAGGTTGGAGAGCAGTGGTGCAATCATGGTTCACTGCAGCCTCAACCTCCAGGGCTCAAGCAATCCTCCTACCTGTCTTCCATGTAGTTGGGGCTACAGGTGTGTGCCACCACACCACACCCAACTAATTTTTTGTTGTTGTTGTTTTGTTTGTTTGTTTTGTTTTTATTTGGTTTTGTTTTGGAGACAGGGTCTTGCTCTGTTGCCCAGGCTGGAGTGCAGTGGCACCATCTCGGCTCACTGCAACCTCTCCCTCCTAGGGTCAAGTGATTCTCCTGCCTCAGCCTCCCGAGTAGCTGTAATTACAGGTATGCACCACCACACCCAGCTAATTTTTGTATTTTTTAGTAGAGACAGGGTTTCACCATGTTGGCCAGGCTGGTCTTGAACTCCTGACCTCAGGTGATCTGCCCACCTCCACTTCCCAAAGTGCTGGGATTACAGGCATGAGCCACCGCACCTGGCATTTTGTATTTTTTTTAAGAGATGGGTTTCACCATGTTGCCCAGGCTGGTCTCAAACTCCCAGGCTCAGTCAATCTGCCAGCCTCGACCTCCGAAAGTGCTGGGATTACAGATGTGAGTTACCACACCTGGTCAACAAAACTTATTCCTTAAGGGAATAGTGACCATGATGAGAATTTGAGCTTAATTCTTTCTGCTCGTGTTCTATCATAAAGCACTTGGCAGAATTTCTGGCTGTTTTTCTTGGCATTGTTTTTGTTATTATTATTACTGTTATAAAATCTGTACTTTTAAAAATCATAAAAATTTCAGATATGATACATGCATTTTACATGTTACACATTTTTCTGTATATAAATAGACAGTTTTCTAGTTATGTACTGGTGTTTGACAATCTAATTATATTCACTATTATTTTTCACAAGTCTTAATTTAAAATCTAGGAAAGTATTACATATTCCCCTTAAACGTTATACAAGACAGACCACCATAAGTAATGTAACCAATACTCACACCCATTTGTATCAACTGAGTGTTTTACTACTGTTGAGAAAAGTAGTCATAATCTTTCCTTATGAAGATAAAATTGGAATGATTTATTTCTGCTTCTTTTTGTGGTTGTGTTAATGCTACATGTGAAGAATGAAATCTCTGTAAATGTATTACACTTTAACTTACATTTTCAATTTTTTTCCAGAATTTATATGTGTAGAATTGAAGGTTTACTGCATTAAAACACAGTGGTGACTGGTATTGGATCTCTGTATGAAATAACAGTTGAAAGGAAAGGAGAAAGAGATGAGAAGAATGAGGAAGAAGGAGTGATGCCAGGGAAAATAAAATGCTCATTTTACTCAAGGGCATGTGAAAGGGAAAGGGGTGGATAAAGGATGAAAATATTTGATAGTATGATGCAACCTGAAGGAAACTGAATGATACAGGAAACGTGACTTTCTTCTGTTTCTGTTCATCTTCATTGGTTATTTCCCCTGTGGTTTACCTTGTCCTGTGTTTGTAAAGAGAGATCGAGCCTTATCACTCAGATTCATTCTCTCCTGTGTCATTAGAACTTTGAAAGGCAAGATTTGTTGTCCTTGACAGATATACTATTATCTTTCTTATCAGATCCTTTTGGTAGCTTTTTCTAAAGATCATAGTCTCTAAATCTGTAGCTTCCTTTTGTTTTCTCTTTGCAAGAAGTTACTAAAAAATATCTTTTTCTCCTCCCTTCTTTCCTATTGTTTTCTTCCTTGCTTCATTAACCTCTACTCAGCCTGACATTTTGTGCAGTTGTGTACTACAAATGCTTTGGACTGACATGACATATATCCCTTTTTTGGCACACTTTATGGATGTTTCATTGCTAGAAAAAAATACTCCCTCCTAATTGCTTATTATTGGCTATCCAAACCACCTGAGTAAGTATTAGAAAATACTTTTAGAATATCTTTTATGACAACATTAAAAAATAATTTTCACATAAAAGGGGACTTTTGGGTCTGCTTACTCTACTGAGGTGAAGTTTCTCATTTGCTGTTTCACATTTAGCTAGGAGCTAGCCGCAAGCTCTATTTGTGGGACTATCACCAACTAGTGGTTTTGTGTTCAATGGCTAGGCCCCGTACTTTCAAGTTTCTCAGTTGCATAAAGTTCTGGATAAGTAGTCAAGCTATTACTGCTATTTTAGATTATTTTGTAGAATATTTTGTGTTCTGTATTTATTTATTTTTTTCTGGAATAACTGTGGTAATTCTAATTAAATTTATCTTTGCTATATTTGTAGAATAACTTTTTAAATTTCTTCACAACTACAATTAATTAGTGATTAAAATAATTCATTCATCAAAACATTTACATTAAACTCTCTCTGTACATTCCAAATTGCCATGTCATTTTTAAATTATATAATCTTTTTAATCTCACAACTATTTTTTAATAAAAATTTGATATTCCTAATTTTAAAATCGAGTAACGTGAATATTTTAAAAACTCACTACCTCAAGCAATACTACCTTGTCTTCATTTTTTTTGGGCAGCTATAACAAAATACCATAGACTGGTTAGCTTGTAAACAATAAAAATTTATTTCTCCTAGTTTTGAAGCCTGGGAAGTCTAAGGTGTTGGCAGATTGAGTGTCTGTTGAGAGCTTTTATCCTCGTTTGTAGATGAACCTTATTACTGTGTCTCCACATGTCAACATATAAAACCTATGGTAAGGCTTGGAGAGACACATTTGGACCATAGTACAGCTTATTAAACTGTCTAGAAATCATTTAAGGAGAAAAGGTTACTTTTTCAAAGGAAAAATATAAAATTATATCACAGATCTAAGAATGTGTTGCAAAAAAAAATATTTTTCTCTTCTCACTTGGGTCCAGTGGTTGGTGGCCTGGAAATTAAATGACAATATACATATTGACAGGAGAAAAGACAATGTTGATTTATATGCTTATGAAGGAGCTCTCAATAATGGAAAAAGTCATAGAATAGCCGGAAGTAAATGTTTCTATATATAAGCTTAATGAAAGGAAAGATTTTAGGGCTCCAATGAGAGAGTATGAGAGATTCCATAGGGTTGTTTAATGGTAACAGAAATGGATTATCTTCTTGGCAGCTAATTTGCAGGAAACTCCCTTTGGGGAGGGTTAATAACAGCTATGTTTTGGGGAGTTTATACTTTAGCAGATAAGGGAAGTTCCAATAAGATTTCTGCTGCATCTTCTCTAGTTCAAATATTTTCAATTTAAAATAAATGTTATGCCAAATTTGGGAGTCAAAGAGGATCCCCACAAATGGTAGAGCTAGAAAATTCTACCTTAAAAATCTTCATGTTGTTACATTTTAAGTTTGTTTATGAAATGTCTGTACTATTATCAAGCTTTTTAAAGAAATTGCCTCTGTTGCATGGTTCTTGTTTTTAAATTCAATAGGTTAAGGCAATCAAACAGTATTTAGTGAGACATGGATCATAAAGCAAAGTGTAATTTGCTTATATTTATTTTAATTTTAAACACATCAATGCATATATACTTAGTTTCAAATTTATACTGAAAATAGTTTAGACTTTTAAACTAAAGGAAATAAGTTAAGAATTGGGAAATGTTTTTGAGATTTCTATAAAAATTAGTTAAGAAATCATCATCTGCTATGTTTCAGCATCACAAAACATATCAGATGAATGTTTCTTAAGAATTGTGTTTATAAACTTGTAACTTCATTCTGTAATTCTCATCTAAAGCAAATTAATACTTCTCTCCCCAGTGTATATCAGTGCTTGGCATAAAGTACACACACATGTTTGTTAAATAAAGAAGTAGATAAATAAATGCTTTTTCAACTTGAACTGTTATGGTTGTATATTTACAGCATAGAAAGAAAAAAATAAATTAATTTTTAAATCATTAAAGATAATTTCTTTCTGAACTCTTTTAGGATGATAATACATGCCTGGTTTTGTGTAATAGTTCTGCTTTATACTTGTCTTATTGTAAGTATTAATAATATCTCTGTTTACTCCCAAAGTGTCCTAGTTTGGGCAGTAATTTATATGGTTCTTCTACTTATTTTTCACATGGGATATATAAAGTGTGTATGTATATGGCAGAGAATAGAAAACTGCTTGTGTTGCTTCACTATTTTTATTTCTATTCTGGTTCCTGAACTAAATGGTTTGAAACCCCCAAATTTTGGATTTCTTACATAAATACGACGGTTTTTTACCTCAACATATTACTTTGGTTGCAAAAGTCTAATGCCAAAACTTTTATATAATTTATTTGAGTTGAGGCACTCAAAGCCTACTAAAATTATATATTGCATGTATGCTTATTTCTGAGCTATTACTAATGCAGTTTTTTATTGTTGGGGGCCAAGACTTTTGGCTCCCTAAATAAAGGTTCACTGAAAATCACTGACATGAGGCAAATTAATTAATAATAGAAAAGGCATACATATTTATTTAATGTGTATACAAGGGAGCATTCAGAATGAAGACCCAACTTCCCAATGCAGTACAGAAGCTTATATGCCATCTTGAGATTACAGACAGAATGAGGTTACAGAAAAACAGGTTATGTATGGGACGGGGAGAAGAGGAACTCCGTTGAAGGGCAATAAATGATTACTAGGGAAAATGATGGATCTGGGAACATAAATTAACTTGTAAATAGTTCTCTTTGGAATTTAAATGATGCTTGCAGATAGTCATTACCTCAAAAAAAAGGTCTGTTCCGGTGTGGATATATCTTTGGTCTTACAGAGAGGGAAGAAAACTGTTATATTCCCTGGTGGGTCCAAATCTTGGGAAGATAAAGAGGCTTCACATTTTGGTGTGCTGGTTTCTGAGTACCAACATTATTGTCATCATTAGTGAAATAATGTGGAATACAGTGATTTGCAACTTGCAGAATATTATACAAATGGAAAGTAGGTGAAACAGTATTCGTTATAGGTGTTTTCTAAATATGTCCAGCTTTCCTTCCTTTAGACATATAATAGAATTGTCCTTTGTTGCCCCCTTAAAGCTAAAAAAAAAAATAGCCAAACAGAAACTTTACAAGCTGTTTCATGATGTATTATCTTCCCTGCCCATGAAAACTTAAGCTTCCGTGCAATCTTAGCACTTGGGTGTCTGAGTGAAACCCTTATAGTTCTCCATGTAGCATCAATAGGAGAAATCAACTTTTATTATGTTAAGCCACTGATATTTTAATGTGCTTTGTCACTATAACATAACATATCTTACATCAACTGCTAAAATAACCTTCTTACCTAGTACCTATCATCTGCCTTTGAGAAACAATTGCACTATTTGCTTTCAAAGATGTCACAATCCCTCCCAGTACCTTGGCCTTCTTTCCTGCTGAGGTCAGATGGCCACTAGTCTTTTTTGACCACACAATCTGTAATCTCTCAAAAGAAAATGTCATGGTGTTTTACAGCTGGAAGTTATCATAGGAATTATACAGTTGCAGTCCATCATTTAGATAAGTCACGTAAAATAGTATAGCCTAAATAGGTCTGATAGTCACTCCTTATGTGAAGTCAGAAAAGTACTTAATCTTTCTCAATTTAATTTTCTTAACTTTCAAAATGTAGATAATCACACCTTCTTGTCAGGTTTCTTTAAAGGACTAAGTTAATTTAAGTGAGCTCATCAGCACATTGTGGTCATAGGACATCTACATATCCCTTTGTTCCTTACTGGTTACATCAGGTTACACAGGTAAAGAGTGTTAGAGCTAGGACTTAAAAATAACATCTATAAGAGTTTTATATGCTTCAGTGAGCTATGATCACACCACTGCACTATGATCACACCCAGCATGGGTGACAGAGCACAAGACCCTATCTCAAAACAACAAAAATAGTTTTATAGTTTTATTTTTATATTAATTAGCTATTCTTTGTAAACTACAACCGACTTGTTATTCAGCCAGAATAGGAATTATTATTGTATCTATTTCACAATAGCCAATTAAGACCCAGAGGCTGCAATTAGTCCAAAATCACCATTAGTATATAACAGAACTAGAGCTCAAACCCGTGGCCTCTGGCTTGAACATTGTGCTCTTTGTTTTCTGCTACCTGAAGCATAAACACGGTGCTGTGGACTTTCTAGCCAGGGCTTTTCCACTAGAAATAACCTTTGTACAAGTGGACATTTCTGAATTTCTCAATACTCAATAGTGAAGATAATATGAAATAACAATTTATATATTTTAGATTGTACTGATGGGATAAAAATTTCAAAATAAACTCCTATGTAATCAAGAATTTGGCTGGCCTTTGCCTCCGATTCCCAAGAAGTAGCTTCAAATCCTTGGAAAGGATGTAAATCTTTAGGGAACGGAATGTCTTTATCATTCTTGGTGAGCCTTGATGATGATACATTTGTCCTAAGGAGGTAATTCATGGGCGCCCCTAGAAAGTTTGTGTTAATGAGATGACTCAGAATAGAGGTTGTACATAGCAGAAAGACCAACAATATGATTAGAGGTTTAGGAGCTTTGAACTACGTGATAATAGCATAACCTCTGGGTAGAGGAGAGGGGCTGAAGACTGAGTTCAATCTCATAGCAAATGATTGAATCAATCATGTCTACCTAACAAAACCCCAGTAAAAACTGTGGGCACAAATCTCAGATGAGCTTCCCTGATTGGCAATAATCTACATATGGTCACATGTAGATATGACAGAAGGGTGATTCCTCCTGACTCCATGGGGAAAAGGCAAAAGATCCCTCTTATTTAAGATCCTTCCATACCTTGCCCTACAAATCTCTTCTTTTGACTGGTTCTGATTTGTATCTTTTTGCTATAATAATGCTCTAATCATAAGAATAGCACTTTCCTTTGTTCTGTGAATTATTGAACCTGAGGAGTAGTAGAAGCCTTAAATTAGTAGCCAGCTCTGCAGTGAGGGCATTCTTTTGGAAATCTATGTCCTTAACCTGTGAAGTTTGGCCCAACTCTAAGTAGTATCAGAATTTATGGCTTAAACATACTCCAAAATCGAGAATATAAATGTATAATATAGACAGTGCTTTCTTTCTTTTTTTTTTTTTTTTTTTTTTTTTTTGAGATAGAGTCTCACTCTGTCACCCAGGCTGGAATGCAGTGGCTCAATCTCAGCTCACTGCAACCTCCGCCTCTCGGGTTCAAGCAATTCTCCTGCCTCAGCCTCCTGAGTAACTGGGACTACAGGCGTGCGCCACCATGCCCGGCTAATTTTTGTGTTTTTAGTAGAGACGGGGTTTCACCATATTGGTCAGGCTGGTCTTGAACTCCTGACCTCGTGATCCACCCACCTCAGCCTCCCAAAGTAATAGGATTACGGGCGTGAGCCACTGTACCTGGCTGTCGACAGTGCTTTATTTTTGATACTTTCAACCCTTAGGTAAAGACAAACAACATTTCAAGTTACCTCATATTTTTAAAAGTTTTGCATTATGTTTACACTAAATAATGAAGGATATTTCCTAATCGTATATTTTTTATCATGATTAAAATAAATTGCAGGGCAAATTTATGTTACTCTGGAAGTAGAGAAAATCATGATGGCAGATCGGAGGCAGGACTAATCTGCAACTTCCACTGAGACAGACAGACCAGTGTGTGGAGACTCACATCATGAACTTTTGCTCCAAGAACTACTGCAGGACCATACCAGGAAAGCTGAGAGAATCCACAGAAGGATCTTGATCACCACCGCAGGCTCCCTGAGATGCTGAAGAAAACTTGTGAGTCTGCTTGCTTTCTCAGCAGGGAGGCTTGTGGACTGGGGCAAGTTCTCAGCCCTGGTCACTGGCTACCTGGAAATAGACTTGGTGGTGTTGGGGAAGCACAGTGGGACTGAGAACACCCTTTAGGACTGCAGGCTGCATAGGAGCAGGGTGAAGCCTGTGACTGCTGGCTTTCCCCCACTTGCCTGGTGACCTGTATGACTCAGCAGAGGCAGCCATAATCACCCCGGGAATATAAATCCATTGGACTGGGAACCACACTCCCATCCCCTACAGCAGCTGCAGTAAGCCCCGCCCAAGGAGAGGCTGAGCTCAGACACCCATATCTCTGCCCCCACTTGGTGATCTGTCTCTACCCATCCTGGTAGCTGAAGACAAAAATCATAATCATAATCTCTTGGGAACTCTATGGCCCTGCCCACTGCCTAAGAAACCTGACTACTTAACCAGGTGTGCCTAGGGCAAGTTCGCATTTCCTTATAGGGCTGCAGCTGATGCACTCTCAAAAGTGCCACCTCCTGGCTAGAGGCCAACAAAGACAAAAGCAGCACCCTAAATAAAAACACGACCAAAGTCCCTCACAAAGTCCACTTCACTCCCCTGCTACCTCCACCAGAGCAGGTGCTGGTATCTATGGCTGCAAGACCTGAAGATAGATCACATCACAAAACTCCTTGAAAACACTCCTCAGTACCAGCCTGGAGCCCAGTAGCTCCACTGGGTGGTTAGACCCAGAAGAGTGGAAACAATCACTACAGTTTAGCTCTCAGGAAGCCCCATTCCTAGGGGAAGGAGCAGAACACCACATTAAGGAAGCACCCCGAGGGACAAAAGAATCTGAACAGCAGACCTTGAATCCCAGAGCTTCCCATCGACATAGTCTACCCAAATAAGAAGGAACCAGAAAAACAATTCTGATTCTTTAATACCCCCTGAAAACAAGGTTCTTTAATACCCCCTGAAAATTATACCAGCTCACCAAGAATGGATCCAAACTAAGATGAAATCTCTGAATTGCCAAAAAATAATTAATAAGGTCGATTATTAAGCTAATCAAGGAGGCACAAGAGAAAGGTTAAGTCCAACTTAAATAAAAAGCATGATACAGGATATAAAAAGAAAATTCTTCAGTGAGATAGATAGCATAAATAAAAAACAATATAACCTCTGGAAATCAAGGACACACTTAGAGAAATGAAAAATGCGCTGGAAAGTCTAAGCAATCAAGTTGAACAGCAGAAAAAAAAAAACTTAAGCGCTTGAAGACAAGGCATTTGAATTAACTCAAACCATTAAAGTCAAAAACAAAAGAATTTTTTCAAAAAATGAACGAAGGCTCCAAAAAGTTTGGGACAATGTTAGATGTCCAAACCCAAGAATAATTGGTGTTCCCAAGGAAGAAGAGAAATCTAAAAATTTGGAAAACATATTTCAGGGAATAATTGAGGAAAACATCTCCAGCCTTGCCAGAGATCTAGACATCCAATGAAAGAAGCTCAAAGAAGACCTGGCAAATTCATCACAAAAAAAAATCACCCGGGCACATAGTCATGAGGTTGTCTAAAGTCAAGATGAAGGAAAGAACCTTAAGAGATGTGAAGCAAAAGCATGAGATAACCCATGAAGTAAAACCTATCAGATTAAGAGCAGATTTCTCAGCAGAAACCCTACAAGCCAGAATGGATTGGGGACCTATTTTTAGCCTCCTTAAACAAAACAATTATCAGCCAAAAATTTTGTATCCAGTGTAACTAAGCTTCATAAATAAAGGAAAGATTCAGTCTTTCCCTGATAAACAAATGCTGAGAGAATTTGCCGCTACCAAGCCAGCACTACAAGAACTGCTAAAAAGAGCTCTAAATCTTGAAACAAATCCTCCTCAAAATACACTAAAATAGAACCTCCTTAAAGCATAAATCTCACAGGACCTATATAACAATAACAACATTAAAAAAAAAAAAGGTATTCAGGCCACAAATAGCACACGAATAGAATAGTACCTTACATCTCAGTACTAACATTGAACGTAAATAGCCTAAATGCTCCACTTAAAAGATACAGAATGGCAGAATAGATACAAATTCACAAACCAAGTTTCTGCTGTCTTGAGGAGACTCAACACATAAGGACTCATATAAACTTAAGGTAAATGGGTGAAAAAAGATATTCCATGAAGATCGACACCAAAAGTGAGCAGGAATAGCTATTTTTTCTATCAGATAAAACAAACTTTTAAGCAACAGCAGTTAAAAATGACAAAAGGGGACATTATATGATGATAAAAGGACTAGGCCAACAGGAAAACATTGCAAATCTAAATATATATCCACCAAACACTGGAGCTTCCAAATTTACAGAACGATTACTACCAGACTGACGAAATGAAATAAACAGCAAAACAATAAAGTGGGGGACTTTAATACTCCACTGACAGCACTTGTCAGGTCATCAAGACAGAAGGTCAACAAAGAAACAATGGACCTACAGTACCTACATTGTACTCCACAACAAATGGACTTAACAGATATTTACAGAACATTCTACCCAACAACTGCAGCATACACATTCTACTCATCAGCACATGGAACACTCTCCAAGATAGACCATATGATAGGCTACAAAACAAGTCCCAGTAAATTCAAAAAAATCAAAATTATATCAAGTATTCCCTCAGACCACAGTGGAAAAAAATTGGAAATCAACTCTGAAAGGAACCCTTAAAACATGCAAATACATGGAAATTAAATAACCTGCTCCTGGATGATGGTTGGGTCAACAATGAAATCAAGATGGAAGTTAAAATTTTTTTTTGAGCTGAACGACAATAGTGACACAACCTATCAAAACTGGGATACAGCAAAACAGTGCTAATAGGAAAGTTCACAGGATTAAATGCCTATATTAAAAAGTCTGAAAGAGCAAAAATAGACAATCTAAGGTCACGTCTCATAAAACTGGAGAAACAAGAACAAACAAAACTGATGGATACTGGGGGAAAAGGTAGGGGGTGGCAAGAGATAAAAGGCTACAGTTGGGTACAGTATACGCTGCTTGGGTGATGGGTGCTGCAAAATTTCAGATATCACCACTAAAGAAATTATTCATGTAACCAAACACTGCCTGTTCCCCCAAAATCCATTGAAATGAAAAATTAAAAAATTTTTAAAAATCTTACTCTGAATATTCTTTATTTTATTTATTTTCTGAGAACACAGTTTTCAAAACCTAAGATACCCTTATCTGATGAAAATATGACAGAAAGTTAAGATTGTTCTTTCTGTGGCATGAACAAATGGACGTTTATTATAAATTCTCTTTATGGGAGTGTGAAATATATTCTTAGTTGTATTTATGTTTCAGTAATAATGTTGCTTTCTTCCCTGGCAATGTTGAATAAACAAAGCATGCAATAATTGAACAGTACCAAATAATAGCATCACAGGAATTTGCAAATATTAGAAAGCAGGGCTTTACTCCTGCCTTCAGAGAGCTGATGATAAGCAGCCTACAATTTCACAGTGGTCTTTTTTCAATCTCCTAGACAATACACATCCAATTTCCACAAGGAACACATCCTCTTAGTAATTTGCTCTGCAGAATTGGGATGGTAGTGGATTTGATGTTACACTACCTGCTTTATTGCCGATTAGTAATCTCACCATGTCCAGTCATCATTACCTGCCAACTCCATAATGAGAAAAAGGTTGCCATTTACAAAGTTCTCCCTTGGTGAAATATTTCATTGTTATATAACTTTGAAGTGTTACAATTTGTTTTTTGATGAACTCATCTAATATCTCCTGCTTTGCACTAATAACCTCAATAAAATTTGAATAGATACTATCTTAAATTCATGATTGGTAAGATTATTCATCTTAAGAGTATATCAATATTAGAAGTAATTTTTTCTCTTGATAATAAAACATATTTAATTTATATAAATATTTCTTTTTAGTTACCATTTAATGGACATCAACTTCTTGCCAGGCAATGTACTAAGTAGTCTTCTTATAGTTATCTTCTTAATTCTTTCTCTAAATCTCTACCAGGAAAATAAGATTTGCATATGCTCTGAATTGAAATATATACCTCACTAGGGAAGGAACACTGTCCGTTTTTCCAGTGTATGGAGGACAAGGCTCTTGGCCCTCTATGATTCACTGAAAATTACTGACATGAGGCAGATTAATTAGTAAAAGAAAAGGCATACAAATTTATTAAAGGCATATACATGGGAGACTTCAGAATGAAGTGAAGACCAACTTCCCAATGAGGTGCAGAGGCTTATTTACAATCTTGAGGTTACAGAAAGAATGAAGGCTTGGATCCTGGTAAAATAGGTTAGAAGAGCAGGGGAGAAAAGAGGAATTCTACTAAGGCACAATAAATGTTACTAGGGAACAGAAATAAAATTGTAAATTGTTTTCTATGGAATTAAGGAAATCTTAGAGACAGTGTTTCTGGAAAAGGATTCTGTTCAAATATAGTTATGTTTCTGGTTTTCTTTCCTGTAATGGATAATGAGATAACAAGGAGAGGAACAAGAATAATTGTTCTCCTTTGTAGGTCAGTTCTTATCTTTATGTAGATAGGAAAAAAGCCTATTCCAGGGCTTGTTAATCTAGGAGAGACTTTAATTTAAAGTACTCATTATATCAAGGAGCCATATTTTGGCATGTAATATTTTTATTTCCTTCAAATGGCATATATATATATGATATACATGACATGTATGTCATATATGTGACATTTATGACATATATGATATATACAACATATATGACATTATACAAGATTATATTTATAAGATTTATATATAAGATGTGTGTGTATATATATATATATATAGAGAGAGAGAGAGAGAGAGAGAATGGTGCTGAGAACATAATAGAAACTCAGTAAGTGTTAGTTGAATGAATGTGTTTATTTCCATTGTATAAACTTACATTAAAATGTAACTTTTCAACATCAAACAACTTATAGGACTAAGGCTATCATTTGAATGAGTGCTTTCTACTAATTATATAACTGTTAGCGGAAATGTGTCCTGATCCAGACCCCAAGAGAGAGTTCTTGATCTCATGCAAGAAATAATTTGGAGAGGGTCCACAAAGTAAAGTGAAAACAAGTTTGTTAGCACAGTAAAGAAATAAAATAATGGCTACTTCTAGACAGAGAAGGAATGCACCCACTTTGGTACAATGCTTGTTGAAAACCAAAAGAATTCACAGATACTTTGAAAGAAGTGGCAGGTCACTGAAAATTCCATGAGACAGGCAAAAATCTCTTGTGCTCTCTTGAAAGCACCACTTCATGGCTGGAGGCCAACCAACTCAGGACATTACAGAAACTCATACAGAATAACCCTGTTCCCAGGAAGGAGGAAACAACAGCTAATTCTGCTACCTGCAACATCCCGGCTAACCAGTGGTCCTGAGTCTGTCCATGTGACAATTTCACTGCTAGCATAACAAGCATTCGAGAAAGCCAGCACACCAAACATATCTACAACAGAGGACTCTCACAGAGTCTACTTTACTCCCCTCCCACCTCCACCAGAGCAAGTGCTGGTATCCATAGCTGGGAAACCTGAAGACAGATAACATCACAAGCCACTTTGCAGACATTCCCCAGCACCAGGCCAGAGGCTGGTGGCCCTATTGTGTGACTATACCCAGAAGAGTAATAACAATCACTGCAGTGTGGCTCACAGGAAGCCCCATCTTTAGTGGAAGGAGGCGTGCACCACAACAAGAGACCGTGGGACAAAAGAATCTGAACAGCAGCCCCTAAGTTCCAGACCTTTCCACCGAAATAGTCTACCCAAATGAGAAGGAATCAAAAGGTAATTCTGGTAATATGCCAAAACAAGTTTCTATAACACCCCAGAAAGACCACAGCAAAGAATCCAAAACAAAAATAAAGCTTTGAATTCCCAGATAAATAATTCAGAAGATTGATATTAAGCTACTCAAAGAGATACCAGATAAAGGTGAAAACCAACTTTAAAACAATTAAAAAAATACAGAATATGGATGAGAAATTCTTCAGAGAAATAAATATTAGAAAGAAAAATAATCACAACTTTGGAGATGAAAGACACACTTAAGAGACATAAAAAATGACTGGAAACCTTCAAAAATAGCATCGAACAAGTAGAAGACAGAGCTTGAAGACAAGGCTTTCAAATTAACATAATTACAGAGAGACAAAAAAAAAAAAGAAAATGAACAAAGCCTCTAAGGAATCTGGAATTATGTTAAATAGCCAAACCTAAGAATAATTGGTTTTCCTGAGGAAGAAGAGAAACCTAAAATTTTGGAAAACATATTTGAGGGAATAATTGAGGAAAAGTTCCCTGGCCTTGCTAGAGATCTAGACATCCAAATACAAGAAGCTCAAAGAACATTTGGGAAACTCATCCCAAAAAGATCATCACCCAGGCAAATAGTCGTCAGGTTACCTAAAGTCAAGAAAAGGGAAAAAAATCTTAAGAGCTGTGAGACAAAAGCACCAGGTAACCTGTAAAGGAAAACATATTAGATTATCGGCAGATTTCTCAACAGAAACTCTACAAGCCAGAAAGTATTGGGTCCTGTCTTTAGCCTCCTGAAACAAAATAATTGTCAACCAATAATTTTGTATCTAGCAAAACTGAGCTTCAAAAAATGAAGAAAAGATAAAGTATTTTTTTCAGACAAACAAATGTTACTACCAAGGCTGCACTAAAGAAATGATAAAGAGTTCTAATCTTGAAACAAAATCTTAAAATACACCAAAATAGAAACTGTTTAATGTATAAATCTCACAGTGCCTATAAAACAACACAATGAAAAAAAACCCAAGGTATTCAGGCAACAACTGACATGACAAATAGAACAGTACCTCACAGAAATACAAAAAAAAAAAAAAAAAAAAAAAACTACAAAAGATCTTTCAAGGTTACTATGAACACGTTTTTGCACACAAACTCAAAAAATCTAGAGGATATGGATAATTTCCTGGAAATATATAACCCTCCTAGATTAAATCAGGAAGAAATAGAAACTCTTAACCGACCAATAACAAGTAGTATAATTGAAACAGTAATTTAAAAAGGCAAATAAATAAAGTTCAGGACCAGATGGATTCACAGCTGAATTCTATCAGGCATTCACAGAAGAATTGGTGCCAATCTTACTGAAACTACTTCGAAAGAGAGAGAAAAAGGGAATCCTCCCTAAAGCATCCTATGAAGCCAATATCACCCTAATACCTAAACCAGGAAAAGATATAACAAACAAACAAACAAACAAAAAAGAAACTACAGATCAATATCCCTGGTGAACATAGATGCAAAAATCCTCAGCAAAATACTAGTTAATTGAATTCAACAGCATATTAAAAAGATAATCCACATGATCAAGTTGGTTTTATGCCAGGGATTCAGGGATAGTTTAACATACACAAGTCAATGGATGTGATACATCACATACACAGAATTCAAAACAAAAATAATATGATCATCTCAATAGATGCAGAAAAAGCATTTGACAAAATTCAGCATCACTTTATGATTAAAATACTCAGCAAAAGTGCCATAGAAGGAACATATCTCAAGATAACAAAAGCTATCTATGACAAACCCACAGCCGACATTATACTGAATTGGGAAAAGTTGAAAGAACCAAGAACTAGAACAAGACAAGAATGGCCACTTTCACCACCTCTATTCATTATAGTACTGGAATTCCTAGCTAGAGCAATTAGGCAAGAAAAAGAAATAAAATGCAACCAAATTGATAAAGAGGAAGTCAAATTGTTGCAGTTTGCCAATGATATGATTGTATAACTAGAAAGCCCTAAAGACTCGTCCAGAAAGCTCATGGAGAGGAAAAAGGAATTCAGTAAAGTTTCAGGATTGAAAATCAATGTACACAAATCAGTAGTGCTGCTATACACCAAGGGTGAGCAAGCTGAGAATCAAACCAAGAACTCAATTCCTTTTACAACAGCTGTGAAAAAAAATAAAATAAAATACTTAGGGATATAACTAACCAATGAAAGATGAAAGATGGATGATCTCTAAAAGGAAAACTACAAAACACTGCTGAAAGAAATCATCAATGACACAATCAAATGGAAACACATCCCATGCTCATGGATGGGTAGAATCAATATTGTGAAAATGATCATACTGCCAAAAACAATCTATACATTCAATGCATTTCCCATGAAAATACCACCATCATTCTGAAATGGGAGGAGTTCCCTTATCCCCCTCCTAGGGTGTGTGATAGGGGTGTGGCTCGCTTCTTTGGTGCCCCGCTGCTCAAACCCCTAGGGGGAGCATGCAGACAGGGGCAGGTTGTGGGGTGCATTTTGGGGCTCTGACCCCACAGCAACGTATAGGGTGAGTGTTAGAGCTCTCAAAGCCCCAGTGAGTGTGTATTACAGTGTGCTTTGTCAGGTTTGTCATCTTGTGGCTTGTGTTAATCAGCTCAATTAGACCCTCTACCTTATGTCAAGGACAGAGGGCTTTCTGTATCCTCGGTTCTTGACCTAGTGTCACAGAAAAATCAGATCACACATGGGCTTGGAGGATGGGTCCAAGGTTCTATTGAGTGGTGGAGGTAGCTCTCACCAAGGTGGACTGGGAGCCAGAAGGGGGATGGAGTGGGAAGGTGGTTTTCCTCTGAATCAAGCTGCCCAGTGGCCAGACTCTCCTCTGACTGTCCCCGACCAAATTCCACGTCATTCCCCCTCAATGGCCTGCCAGTGTCTACTGGTGTCTGTCAGTGTGCTCTTCTGCTCCTTTTGATGTCCAGCTGCTTGTGTCTCTGCCCACTAGGGTCTCAGGTTTCTATGGGCACAGAATGGAGGGCATGGCATGCCAGAGTGGTCTTGGAAAATGCAACATTTGGGTGCAAAAACAGGAGTGCCTGCTCTCACTTAGTTCCATGGGCACAAGCCTGAGAGTGGAGCCGTCGCCAGAGACCCCACCTTTTTCTATCCAGCACATCCCTGTCCCACTGCCATGTCAATTCTTCACAGAACTAGAAAACACAATCCTAAAAGTGATGTGGAACCGTAAAAGAGACTACATAGCCAAAGCAAGATTAAATAAAAAGAATAAATCTGGAGGCATCACATTACACTACTTCAAATTATACTACTAGGCCATAGTCACCAAAATAGCATGGCTCTGGTATAAAAATAGGCACATAGACCAATTGAACAGAATAGAGAACGCAGAAATAAAGCCAAATATTTGCAGTCAGCTGGTCTTCAAAAAGCAAACAAAAACTTGCGGTGGGGAAAGGACACCCTACTCAGCAAATTGTGCTGTTATAATTGTCAAGCCACATGGAGAAGAAGTAAGCTGGGTCCTCATCTCTTACCTTATACAAAAATCAACACAAGATGGATCAAAACCTTCTAGACATTGGTTTAGGCAAATAATTCATGACCAAGAATCCAAAAGCAAATACAGCATATAAAAAAATGAGTAGATGGGACCTAATTAAAGCCAAAGAAATAATCAGCAGACTAAGCAGGCTGCCTACAAAGTGGGAGAACATATTTGTAAACTATGCATTCGGCAAAGGACTAATATCCAGAAACTACAAGAAACTCAAAGAAATCAGCAAGAAAAAACAAATAATCCCATCCAAAAGTGAGCAAAGGACATGATTAGACGGTTCTCAAAAGAATATATACAAACAGCCAATAAACACATGAAAAAATGCTCAACATCACTAATCGTCAGGGAGATCCAAATTAAAACTACAATAGGATACCACCTTTCTCCTGCAAGAATGGCCATTGGTAAAAGGTCAAAAAAAATAGATGTTGGCATTATGTGGTTAAAAAAAAAAGGAACATTTATACACTGCTGGTGAGAATATAAATTAATACAACCATTTAAAAGTAGAACTACCATTTGATCCAGCAATCCCAGTACTGGGTATCTACTCAGAGGAAAAGAAGTCATTATATGAAAAAGACACTCGTACACACATTTATAGCAGGACAATTTGCAATTGCAAAAATATGTAACAAGCCTCAATGCCCATCAACAAGCAAGTAGATAAAGAAAATGTGATATATATATATCTGCCATGGAATACTGCTCAGCCATAAAAAGGAACAAAATAATGGCATTTGCAGCAACTGGGATGTTAGAGACCATTATTCTAAGTGAAGTAACTCAGGAATGGAAAACCAAACATTTTATGTTCTCACTTAAAAGTGGGAGCTAAGCTATGAGGATGCAAAGGCATAAGAGTTACATAATGAACTTTGGGGACTTGGAGAGAAGATTGGCAGGTGGTGAAAAACAAAAGACTACACATTGGGTACAGAGTAAGCTGCTCAGGTGATAGGTGCACCAAAATTTCAGAAATCACCACTAAAGAACTTTTCCATGCAATGAAACACCACCTTATTCCCCTACAACAACTGAACGAAAATAAAAATAAAATTAAAATAAAATAAAGGCAAAAAATCATGGGGGAAATGGGCTCCAGTACAAGGACTCCTGACAAAAGATTATTAAGCTTTGTGTAACTGTTGACTTTGGCAAGAAACTCATTATTAAACTAAGAATGTTTTTGTCGGCTGGGCGCGGTGGCTCACGCCTGTAATCCCAGCACTTTGGGAGGCTGAGGTGGGCAGATCACGAGGTCAGGAGATCGAGACCGTCCTGGCTAACGCGGTGGAACCCCGTCTCTACTAAAAATACAAAAATATTAGCCGGGCCTGGTGGCGTGCGCCTGTAGTCCCTGCTACTCAGGAGGCTGAGTCAGGAGAATGGGGTGAACCCGGGACGGGGAGCTTGCAGTGAGCAGAGATCGCGCCACTGCACTCCAACCTGGGCGACAGAGCGAGACTCCAACTCCAAAAAAAAAAAAAAAAAGAATGTTTTTGTCCTTTAGATGTGGGATATCAGGACACTTCCTGGCTTTGTTAAGTGCCGGGTCTGTTTAGCAGACATTATTCATCTATTCCCTTAACTGGAAATATCTTAAATATCTTGTCACTAGGAATGCTCATCCTTCTGGGAATGCAACCCAGCAGGTCTCAGCCTCATTTTACCCAGCCTCTATTCAAGATGAAGTTGCCCTGGTTCCCACGACTCTGATATAATAATAATTTTACAGCAATTAGTTACAAAAGACTAATATATTCACCAACTAAGATCCCTCTGGCAAACTTTCTCTTATTTTGGAGTTGGCAAAAAGCATGATAAAATTTATGACCAGCCAGAAAAAGCAAAGACATTATATTGTGGTATCCAGCAAGATAAGAATTCTACTGATTTGTCTTTTTTGCTTAATTATATATGGAAAGCTTTTAGAACAGGTACTGGCACATACTTGGCACTCCAGTCAATAAATAAATTTTGAATAAGTAAATTTTGTTTTCTAGGTGAATACTAGTATTAACAGAATTTAAGATACTTCCTAGTAAAAGCTACAATTTAAATCTCTTCAATTATACCATGTTTTGTGATGCTTTTCAGTATGCTTTCTTATATTTTATTTGATCCTGACAATAATTCTAGAGATGAATAAAGAAAGCGTGATTGATATCTTTTAACAAATTGTCCAAGGTTAAGTAAATTTTCCACGATTACATAATTAATTAAAAAAATGTGATTTCATCTTGATCTTCTACCAACTTCTTTTTCATAAAGCAGGTATTTTTAAGCATCAGAATTTACTGTTAATTGAAAAATTTTCATGATTTTAAACAATTATCCAGGAGCCATAAATAGCATTCATTACCTTGTTTCATGAAAATAGTTTATGAAAATAGTACATTATATGAAATACTCAATACTTATTGATAAATATGTAGTGAAAACAGAATCTTTATGGCTTCGTGAATTGCCTTTTTTTAGCATTAAAACTATCTGAGAATAGGCTCTGTTTATTAAGTTAGTTCTTTAAATTAAGGAGATTCTACTACTGATTATTTGTTTATCCTTTTGTTTAAAAATGAGTAATCATGTTCTAACTCCTCAATAATTTTGTTTTCTTATCTAATACATTAACTTTTATTACCCAAATATGATACACAGAACTCAAGCTCTTGTAAATAAGTGTTAATTACAAATAATATCCAAGGTCTATTGTTTGTAATGGTTTGTTAAATAACATTAAGCAGAATTTTGTTGTTATTGTTTGTTTCTCATTTAGATTAGCTTTGCTTAGGTTTAAATGAGAACAGCTTATAATATTTAACATACCAATGCGAAGCGTGACTTCTAAAATTGTAGTTATAATAAACAGTGTTTCCCTCATCTGTTTGAACATGAAAAAAGTTTCTCCCCTATAGGGCATCTTGAGAAATTACCGTTCGTGGATCACACTCAGAGTTGTAGTGGCCAAGGATTTTATCTTATATTTAGCTAACTCTTCTGAATTAATGGTTGTAATTACTGGTTTCTGTAATTCATGGTTCTTCCACTATTTTAGATTGTTTCAACTATAAGGGAGTAAATGGATAAGTTAAGTGTTCGTGCAATTTTTATTAAATAAAATGAAAATAGGAAAAGAAAAAAGGGAACGCTAACCTACTTTTTATCCGGTTCATTATAAGGTAGTGCAAGACACCCTTAGACCTAGCATGGGATACATAGATATGGTTAAGTTGTCTGGTTTACATTTCTCTACATTCAGAATTAGACAGTATGTATTTCTTTCAATGATCTATAATTCACATTTTGTAAATACTATCTTCTATCTATGTGCATCTATAATTACATTGTTAGAGTATTTAACTATAATATATTATTCTAATGATTGTATAGCCAATAAGCCCAAGCTGCATGCAGTGATAATTAGCTTATTGCAAAAATACAGAAGAAAGGCAATCAAAGTCCATACATAATGGTCAACCCACTGAAGGGTCTTAGTTATGAAATATTAACCAACTGAGGACGTGGTTTGAAAAAAGTTACTTTAGCAAAAAGAAAAAAGGAAACAAAGCAGATAACAGATACAAGAGGCATGTCCACGAGCATGGGCATGTCTATGAGCGTACTATTCTGATTCATAACCAGATCTCATCAGAGATGAGAGGCCACATGAGTTAACAATGATACAGCAGAAGACAGGAGATGGGAAAGAAGATCTGTTGATTTTAGTCTTGGAAGATTCTACTTTGAGTGGCAATTTTAAAGAATATCAGGAATATTATATTTCTTTCCCTTATAGATCCAGTCTCACTCCTTGATTCTCCATTCGATGCTTATTTACATGTCCTTACATTTTAAATGTTGTATAAAGACCTTCCACTTTTAAAAACCATATAGACAAAGTATAGAGGCTAAATACAACTACAAACTATAACAAAAATATTGGATATTTATTTATATAAGAATTGCTATATACTTTGATATGCATTACTCTATATATATGTAAAATTCATACACTCCTATAAAATTAAGGTTTAAATTATAAAAATAGATAACTGAAGATTTGTTGAGGAGAGGTTGAAAAAAGTATAAGTACTTTTTACCTCCTTGGGCTTCTCCCACAGTTTTTCCAAAGGCTGCAAAGCTATTATTTACATCTGGTTCCCTAAAAGCCGACCTCCAATAGGAAATTTTATGCTATTGATTCATTAAGATAGTGTTCTCAGGAGAAACAAGTAAGGGAGTGAGGGAAGCAAGGTGGAGAAGGAGAAGGAGCTGCACAAGATGTGCTTTCAGGTGAAGACTAAGTTCGTTCTGATCCCCTGTGAACTTGGACCACAAATGACAAGACAGTTTGTCATCCCCTGAAGTCAGGAAGCGGGGCTGTTGTTCACCTTCAACACCCTCGTTTGTGATTAACTGTGGGATGCAAGGTGGAGGGAGGGAAAGGGTGAACCAGTCTAACACCCAGTCACTTTTAGGAAGGTGAGTGTGATAGTTAATTTTATGTCTCAACTTGACTGGGCCATAGCACACCGAAGCATTCGGTTGAATATTAATCCGGATGTTTCTGTGAGGTTGTTTCTGGATGAAATGAACATTTTTGTAGACTGAGTAAAGTAGTTTGCCGCCTCTCCCGACCCAACAATGTGGGTGGGGCTCATCCAATCAGTTGAAGGCGTTACTAGAACAAAAATGCTGACCTTTTCATGAGTAAGGGGGGAAGTCCTCCTGCCTGACTACCTTTGAACTGGGACATGTGCCTTTTTTTTCTGCCTTCAGACTCAAACTAAACGTCAGCTTTTCCCGGCTCTCAAGCCTGCTGGTCCCTGAACTAAAACTCACATTATCAACTCTACTGGTTCTTAGGCCTTTGGAGTCAGACTGGAACTACAGCATTGACTCTTCCGGAACTCCAGCTTACTGACTACAGATCTTGGAACTTTTCAGCTTCCACAACCATGTAAGCCAATTCCTTTCTAATAAATAAGTCTCTCTCTGTATATACATCCTACTGGTTCTGTTTCTCTGGAGAATTCCAACTAACGAGGTGAGAAATAGCTTCTATAACATAAATGAAAAGCTCCAGAAAATATTGGTCTTAAAGTAAACGTTGTTTCTTATGAAACGTTTCCTGTGATTTAACCCCATATTTACTGTCTAAATGTATCTGTCTAAAATAATTTTCAGGATTCTAATTTCACTGAATTTTTATACAGGTACCCTATCATTCACTTTCAACAAAGCTATTCTATATACTAAATTACCGCTGTGTTCTTTTTGGAAACCTAATATTTAGAAAAATCCAGAAGATAATCTATCTATTACTTAAACCTGAAACACTTAAATCTATCTATTACTTAAATTTATCTATTACTTAAAGCTGAAATGCTTACTTTTTAGCAAACATTTGCTTTGTTACCTATTTCTGAGAGTGCGAAAGCTTCCTTTGAAAATGAGACATAAAATCAAGAAATGCAATTAAAGCTTTAGGACTGGAAATTTCTCACAGATTATCTTGTCCAATATACTTTTTTTTTTTCATACAAGTAAACTGAGGGAGAATATGAAGTCAGTAAGCAATAGGGGACATATAGGAGAAAACTTTTTACTTTACATTTTTAAGTTTTAACACCTTG
The DNA here is from genome assembly GCF_000001405.40 of Homo sapiens. Classification (NCBI taxonomy): domain Eukaryota; kingdom Metazoa; phylum Chordata; class Mammalia; order Primates; family Hominidae; genus Homo; species Homo sapiens. The sequence continues at coordinate 165,461,309 of NC_000003.12, forward strand.
ATCAGCAATTATTTTTAGTTGTAGCTTAGTATAAAGTCATTTATATACCATACATTTTTAATGTTGAAATCTTATTGCTTATGGTTCTAAATTCAACTCAAAAAATGCCTCAGATGCAATTTGCCAGTAAATATTTTATTAAAAGAATGTATCCTTCATAGAGAACAGATTATAGTGAACACAATATAGCCATTCTTTTTAAAACAGTTTATTACTACAAATCTTTGGAAAAAAATAATAATGGTGGTTGATAACAATATCAACATAGCCATATTAACACATTTTATCAAATATCCCTGTGAGGTCAGTACTTTCATTAACCTATTTTCATTAACATATGATTAAACTGTGGTGTCTGAACTCAGTTGTCCTGGCTCACAAAATGGCCTTATCAACCACGATATTCTTCTCTAGAGCAAACATATTATCAACACAGAAACTACTGTTTAAAGCATTTGAATATACATTTAAACCATTTTCATACATATTTGCTGGAAACTTATATGAACTAAATACTATTTTACCACTTTTCTTGTTTTGGCTATGAAATAAAACATTGAAAAATTATTGGGTGTAACCTAGTGAGGAAGTGGAAAACCATGTGCTTTAGTCCTTCCCTTAATCAGTGTGTGAGTAATAAAGCTTGCTATTTAATATGAAGATGATGATCTTGATCCACTGTCAAAGGACATGTATGTGGGGCTGCTTTCACTGTTAATAAAGGATTACATAAGCTATACTTATTATTCTTAGGAAAAATTGCAATGGCACAGAAGTTAGGAGGCCTTGGGTTTAATTTCTGCTCTGTAAGTAGTTATTTGGCTTTAGCCAAGTCATTTAACTCTACAAGAATCATTTTCCTCTTCTTGAAAGTGAAGAGGTAGGAATTTTGACCTAGATCAGTTTATAGATTCTTTCTAGGTCTGTTCCAACGTTCTATGAGTCTATAATCTAGACCTCATTAGTGGTGTGCTACTAGTACTAATCAGGCCCAAAGAAATATATTAAGTTGCATTTTGTATGTGATAGGTGCTGCCAGATTTTAGATTCCTACTTTTAATTTCTGTTTGAGATCCTCTTCTACCTTCTGTATGCTTTTTTAGAAAGCTTTGCTCTTAGAAAAGAACCAAAATACATGGATTGATTGAGATCATTCAAGAATTTTTAAATTATTTTACAAATTAGATTATAAAGATTAAACCTCATTAATAAGAATAAATTAAATGTTTAAATGTTAGAAAAAAACATCAGGTTGGCCAGTCTAACAGTTCCCTATCTGAACTGAAAGAAAAATAAATATATTATTATACTTTATCCATGTAGGAAAGTTATGTAACATGTCAAGAGTGAAGAATGAGTTTGGAAAAGTTGCTCTTCATGGCATTCTTTTACTGTGAACTTCAAATGGTGTGCTTGAGCTGTTGGAAGCAGGCTGACACAATTGGAAAACACTGAATTAGTGGGAGGTAAGGGAGGTATCTGCAACAGCTGAAGTAAAATGAACTTTTCTGCAGAGAAAAGCAGCTTAGTTACAACCCTCAAAGCTCAAACGTCAATCCGTCCCCAAGCAGGACAAGTGTGGGTGATATATGGAAAGGCTATTTTAAAATCCGCTTGAGCTTGCCAATCTGGAGATTTGCCCAGGAAAGAGAGCCTCAGAAAAATCACGATGCAAACAAGCAAATTTTATCAAATTTATGCAGAACTTGAGAGTCACAGAAACTAATTGGACAGAATCCCATCTAAAATTTCATCATTAATAACTACTATGACAGATAGTTCTTTTAACGGTCTTTTCTTTCATGTCTGTTTCAATGACTTAATAAGTATGTGTATTTGCTTTGTGCAATATCATGACAGAAAAAATACTTTCCCAACATGTCCTTATAAAGCTAATTCTGTTCTTTTGGACCTCGCTGAATCTTCTATCATTTTTCAAACATGGCTATGCTGTCAAATAGAAGTGGTAGGGACATTTTTTTCTAAAGTCAGAGCATTTCATTTTGAATGTTTAAGAAAATCACAAAAGCCAAGTGTTACTTTCCTTTAAAATAAAGGTTTGTTTAACATCTCGCATTATGCAAAATATTTAAGTGACATTAAATAATAGTGAATATTTTCTGTAATATCAACAGAATATTTTTGTCAGCAAAGTGAGGTCAATATATTGAGTGAAACACTCTGTATTAAACATAATATTAATGCTTATTGACTATGTATATTAATGTCTTTTGCAGACTTCAGTTGAATCACTATGACTTATTCTAAATGAGATATTTTTAATGAAAATGTATCACATAGACAAGCTAAACCATTTCCAGGAATATTGTAACAGCTTCAAAAGAAGATGCTACAGTGTTAAAGGGAAACATATGATTCTTGGTGTTAGTGCCAGAGAGCTATAGTTTTAATGTGTTGAATCACTACGAGTGATGACATGAATGATTAAATTTTGTAATAGCAACTTAATTTGAAAGAAGGAGATTCTCTGATTCAGGGACTTACTAAAATTTCTCAACAAGTGATAAAGACTGAAAATATGACAAAAAAGTTTTCAGATAACTTACTTAAGGAAAAAGTCATGGTATAATGATTATTTTTATAAGCAATAAGATAGATTTGAGTTGATGAAAGTACTCCAGATGGAGTGTAAGCAGTATTTCATTCCTGCAAAAAACATTTTGTATTTAGTTATTGAGATGGTCATCCTAAAGACATTTATTTAAGATACTAAATTCTGGCGTCACAAATTACAGTGCTATTTGATGACAGGTGCTATAGATCAACAAGATGAAGTTATATTTATTAACAATTGAGAAATTAAAACATAGTGGAATGCAGGGCAACCAAACTAGGATAAAATTCACTGAAGGTTTAATTGGCTGGTACTCTTTTGGAATATATTAATATTGATGCACTGACTTTAAAAGACCAGCATTAACACTATCAGCCCAATCATCATAGTTCACTGTTGATAACCAGACAGCAATTATTACTGCACATTGTCAATGAAGTTATTATTTTAGATTATATGATGATGTGGCTTGGAATAAATTCTAACTAATTATAAGAAATTGAAAGAAGCAACATTCAAATTACAAGTGATGTTTAATAAAAGGCCTCACTAGCAAAATGCTAGAAATTAACCTCTTTTACTTGGCATCATTTAAACATCTCTAAACTTAATACAATGTGTACTTTATTTTTTTACAATGAGTGGCATAGGACATAAATTTCTTTCAAGACAATCTTATTTTCAAAATTTTGCAGTTAGGAATTGATTTGGTGTGAAAATTATAAATATTTTTTCAATAGCTCTCATTCAAACTTTAATGAAATAATTTTGTAATTGGTTGTTTAATGGCTGTCATTCAGCAACTACTATTACCATGATTAAAAGTTCTGTGAAGACGGGAATGGTGTCTGTCATGTGAACTAGAGCCCTAGCACCTATCTTACATGGTGTACAGTCCCTCAATAAGGAATTGCTTATTAATAAAATGAATGCATAGGCCCATAGCTAGCAACTGGGAGGAAAGGGGATTCAAGCCAAACTGCTGACTTCATGTGCAGAGACTAATCTCAATTTGGATGCGACAGGATACAAACATCAAATTCATGGATATATTTCCCAGTGAACTCAAACATTACTATTGAATAAACTATGTGTAAGATGAATAGCTTGACCACATCAGTCGGTCATTCTTGTGGCATGATTTCATGGTTTGCTATTTATGGAAATGCCTTTAGGTTATAGTTTATATTACATATGATTCTAGAAAGTTCATGGCTAGGGCCACTGATTTAATTCTCAGAGGAAAAATTAGATTTTCCAGGAAAACCTTCTTTTTCCTTCCCATAGTTTGTAACCTCAACTCTAGATAGAAATGTCTGTCTTGTTCTAAATGAAAAATCTTGGATTAAATGTGAGCAGACATTAGGCTTTTCCATTTCAAAATCTGAATCATCAGTTGACCAACTGGGTCACTGTTAAGAAATTATTTTAAATATTACTAAATCCACTTTTTGTTCTAAATTTATATTGTATTAATAGCAACCAAGTGATACACGTTTTATCCCTTTTAATTTTGAAAAAAATCCCATGAGTTAAATGCTAGCATCCCAATCTGAGAGATGCAGAAAATGAGACAGAGAATTCAGATCAAGGTCTTCCCAATTTAAACAATTAATCCAGTGATTATTCTACAGTAAAATAAAGATAGTAATAAATAGATAGATCACCCTTGAACAACACAGAATTAAACTACATAGGTCCACTTATACTCAATTTTTTTTCCAACCAAACAAATAAAACCTTTGTGGTAGGCAAACCTGCCTATACATAGGGCCAAATTTTAGTGTGCATATATTCCACAGGCAGGACTGCGGGATTTGAGTATGCACCAATTTTGTGTTTATGTAGTGTCTTGGAACCAATCCTCCAACTATACTGACAGACAGTGCACTATTGTTCATAGTAATTTCTAGATAGTAGACATGAGCAAAAAGTACTGTATTAATGGGATTTGTAAGCTAAACATAATGTGTACAACACAGGCTATTGTTAGGGTCATTTAATCCAGGCTCCAGAGCCCTATGACTAGAGAAAAACACCTTGAGTTGGTATAAAATTCCATGAATATAAACAAAAAAAACTAAATTGTCCCTGCTGCAGATTTGTGAGAACTCTTAAGAAATACTTGAGGCTTTACTTTTATGATTCTATGAGTTATTGAGTCTTTAAATGTCACCATCTTTTCAAAATACAACCATGAATGTTACTATATTAACTAACGTAGTGTAGGTGGACTCCCTAGGCCTTTTGGGAGGCTTGGAGAAGCATTCTTTTGTGTTGAAGGCGAGGAACAGCCAGGTGAGGACTAGCCTTCTTAGAGCTTTATTTAAATCCAAGGATTATATAGGTTGTAGAGTCATACTTATAGATCAGAACTTTTTAAAAATTCTTTTTTCCCTATATTTGGCAAAATTGATACTAAAGAAAAATCCAAAATTCAATTCGTCACCTCCTTTGTGGCTAAGAGACAGATATTTATTTGTTTTCCCCAGTGAAATGTACCTCCACAATATTTCAGTGTTCAGCAGAGCAAAACAAGAAGAGGCAGGCTTTTTGAGGAATTCATACCTAGTAAATATGGCAGAGGTTGGCATAGACACTGAGACTGAGAAACAACTGTTGTGGAAGGGCTGCGCTTAGGGTCCCATATGTATGGTTTGCAATGCCTGTACTGGAATCAAGCCTGTGAATAGTTTAGTGGTTGGCTTAGATATTACTTCTGGCTGCATAATCTCTAAAACCAGTTTTCTGGCCCTCCTAGAATTTCTGAGGGATATCTTAGAAGCTTTAATACATTCTTCTTCTGTTTCACTTAGTTTTTCTCATTTTAGCTAATAAATCTAGCTAAAACAAGCCTATCCCACACAACAGGCTTGTGTGTTAGAATAATAGTCCCCCAAATAGGTGCATGTCATAATCCTGGGAATTCTGAAAACCTGAATATGAATTTTCTTTGTAAAAAGGGATTCTGCATATCAGATGAAGATTACAGACTTTGAAATGGATACGTTATCCTAAATTATTAAAATAGGCCCAATCTACTCATATACACACTTAGAAACAAATTATTTCTGGTGAGTGCAAGAGAGAGTCAGAGAGATGTGACAGAAGAGGCAGGAAATACTTCAAGCATGAGAGAGATTCCATTAGCTGTTGCTGGCTTTGAAGATAGAGGAAGGGTGCCATGAGCTGAAGAGTGCAAGCAATCTCCAGGAGCTAGTAACGGCTCTCAGCTGACAACCGCAGCAATAGAGACCTCAGTTCTACCCACTGGATGGAACATCCTGCCAACAACCTGAACAAGCAAGAAAACAGAACCTCTCTTAGAGCCCACCGGAGTTCTGACCCATGGAATTATAAAACAATAAATTTGTAGCGTTTAAAGCCACTAAATATATGATTATAGAAAACTAATTTAAGGCTAGAGCAAACTCAATAGTTCATGGAGCAGTGTCTAAGTGGTAATGGGACAGGGACAATTTGTGTAAAGCATTTGTATAAAGCCAGAAAAGATGAGCCTGTTTCTGGAGACATTGATAGGACATGAACCCTAATTCGTAGTCATAAAGTACAAAGTTTAGAATTATCTATTCTTACACAGTCTAAGTTATCAAGTAATAGATGTGTATCTGGTTACCAAATTTATTTAATGAATTTAAATATTAATACCTGCTTCATTTTTAACTAATGTAAAATCAGTATAAAGGGCTTTAAGGATTGGACTTAATGGAAAAAGCAGTGATCTAAAGTCTTGTATCTTAAAGGATGGTTTGTGGGAGCTTGTTTGAGTGCAGAATCTCTGACGCCACCTGAGACCTACTGTCTTGTGTTGCTTAAAGCAGAATCTGTGGCTAGGTAATTGATAAAGAAAAGAGGTTTATTTGGCAGTTCTGTTGGCTGGACAAGAAGCATGATGCTGATGACTGCTTGGCTTCTGGAGAGGGCTTTTGTGCTCATCAAAATATGGCTGAGAAGATAAGATGAGAAGCAGGCACATGAAAAGAGGGGAAAACCTGAGAGGTGTCTTGGCTTTCTAACAATTCACTCTCGTGAGAACTAATCCTGTCTCGTGAGAGCCAGAATCACTCACTCCCAGGAAAATAGCACCAAGCTACCCATGAGGGATTCATCCCCATAGCCCAAACACCAGCCATTAGGCCCCAACTCTCAACACCATCACAATGGGGACCAAACTTCAATATGAGCTTTGGTGGGGACAAGTAAACCATATCCAAACCCCTCCACCTACAAAATTAGAATTTGCATTTTAACAAGATCTCCCGGTGATTTTTTGCTGCCTAATGTTTGGGAAGCATTGATCTAAAGCTTGAACAGCAAAAATAGGAAACGTAGCCAAATTAAATTTAAAAACCACTATAAGTAATCACTATACTAAACTTATTCTTAGGCATTCTCCATTTTGTTTTATCACTTATAAAAATGGTAGCATATACTATTTCATAGGGTTAAAGTCAAGATTTAACGATCAATAAAATTATTAATTTGGTAATACATGAAAAGCTCTCTGCAAAGTGCCTGGCCAATAACAAATGTTTATAAAATATAAATATGATCAGTATTATTTCTTAATAGCCCATTCCTCTACACTAGCCTTCCTCTTCCTGCTTGTCCAACAATCCAATTTAAATAATATCTATACAGCAACTTGGTAACTCTGGTATAACTAATCATTTTAAATGGCAGCTACAGTAAATCAGGAGGGGAATCAAGCATTTTTTTTGTCCTTCCTTTTTCTCCTTTGCAGAGGAAATGGGATAAGGAAAGAAGGTTCTACCTAATTGTAATATGTAATATTCATTAAGTTTTCATATACATTAATTCATTGCCTATAAAAATTCTTCAGCTCTGGATATTTAGCCCAGTGGAAAGTGACTTTAATCTGTGCAAATGAAGTCATATATAAAATCTAAAATGAGACAAGACATAGATTTAGATATGTGTATTTTTATATCTTCAACATAAGTATAAGCATGAAATAGAAATCTGCAGGCCTAGTTTAGAAGCCAGCAGGACCTGGGTTTAAATTCTGACAATTTGTCTTACTGTGTGACATTTGGCAAACCACCTTAACCACTCTGAAGTTTAGTTTCCTCATCTATAAACATCTGCCTTAAAAAATTATAATTCTTATTAAATATAAACATCTTTTCTATGTGGTCTGGAACATAGTGGCATAAAACAAAGGCTTTTTTCTTTCTTTTCAGACTTTTAGGTATATAAATAGGATAATGTATGTACCAGTATTATATCTCTAAATTTTAATCTGCACATTTTCTGCATATTTTCCTCACCCTCTTAGCATTGTTTTCTGAGGCCATTTCTTTCCGTGCTCATCTTGCGGGTTGGGAAGCATGAACAAACACTTACATGTAAGTAAGTGATAGAAAAATTCAACTATCTGCTTAAACAATAGCTTCAGACAAGAGTGGAACTGTACACAGAAGAATAGAAGGTGGATGGGTAATGAATAACTCTGCTTGGAAAAAAAGGAAAGAAGGGATCCTAAATATTGAATGAAAAAGAGTAAATAGTATCTTTCTTTTAAAGGGCTAGAGACACAAACAAAAGGACCTGAGCACAAACATATCTCTAAACAGGGACTCTATCAATCCATCAAATAGAGACAGAATTATATCTAGTAGTTCTAAACCATTAAGAACATCTTGAACATAGTTTGAGGGAGTTAAACAGTGTATTGGTGACCAAAATGGAAAAAAACACAACCAGAGATTATTCCACTCTAAACCACAGCAACATTGTATATGCTGCCAAAGATAATTGCTATTTGCTTCTAACTCCAAGGAAAGTAGAGAAAGACCAAGTATCTTAAGAAGAACAATGCCTGAGGCTATAGGGGACCCTGAACCTGAATATGAAAACCCTTAAACTGGATTACTTCACTAATTTGAGTAACTACTGGAGCTTCACGAAGTCACAGAGAGATGAAAATTATTAATAATTATTACATTTATTTATTTAGTATTTAAATATATGTATTATGTGTATATAATTATAAATAACCATTTTTTTTACTGATGCATTTGGATACATGCATAAAATATTTTCAGTATAAACAATTTACAATATGAGTTTTTTTACGATGTTGTTAAATTTGTTTTAAGCCTTGGAACTTATTTAAAAAACATAATTTATATTTAATTATATTTTTATATGCATTTTTGAAAAAGGCTAGGGTTAAAATAGCCAGTTAAAAATAGCCACTAAAGATTTTAATGATAATTATTATACTTCTATCAAATACCTTAAATTTATAAGATGTATTGAGTAGTTACTATATACAAGGCACTGTCCAATGTGTCAAGATGATAATGATGGAAGAGACATGCTTGTTCAAGAATGGTACTTAATGTTAGAGGAATATGTGTAAAAATGACATGACACAATTCTATGGACATAGATGTTTTTGTGCTCATGTATTACAATTTTAAAGAGTATAACAATTCATGCTCTGCAGAGTATTTAAAATATTTAGAAATGTATCATTTGAAAATTATAAAGACCTGTAAATATCTTTTCTCGTCATTATTCTTCAGAGATTAAAAAAAAACAGATTATGCAGATTTGCAGTTTTTAAATGCCAGTAATTTGGTAATTTGGACCAAAATTCATATTGAAGACAACTTAAAAAGCTGGATAAAGTTAAAAAAAACAATAGCCTGAAGGCATGGCAGAGCTAACAAAGCTGTGAAAAAATTGCAAGGTCAAGATTTGAAAGGTAGAAATCTAAATATGGTTGTTATTTTGTGCTAATTTCTCTCAAATAGCTTAAGCTGATTCTTAAAAACATAGCTCAGTGTTTGAGAAGCTGAGCAAAGCTTTTGAAACTCCCTCAAGTCTAGGAAGAAAACTTCAGTAAACAACAAGTGGTGTAACTCTCCCACACATTGAGGCCTAGTTTTAAATTATTTCAAATCTAAAACTAAATTAGATAATCACAGATTTCTAGTTATCTCTAACTGTGTTTAAGAGTTTAAACAACTTTGCTTGTTATATTCAAGGAGATAGATGATAAGATAGAAATATTTGGCAGAGCACAAGAATTTTTTTTTAAATGAATGTTCTAGAACTTAAAAAAATAAGAAACTAAATGAGGAATTTTATAGATTGGTTCAACCATAAAATAGACACAGCTAAAGGAAGATTTAGTTAATTCGAAGTAGATCACAAGAAAATTTCCAGAATGAAGCAAGAAGAGATGAAGTATGTTAGACAGAGGGCAGTATTTCAGAGTCAAAAAGAACAAAATTAGAAGATCAAAAACATGTGTAATTTGATTCTCAGTAAGAGAAGAAAGAAAAAATGAGGAAGAAGCAATATTTAGAGATACAATTTCTGCAAATTTCCCAAAATTGACCACAACAAACAAAACCAATCACAGAGACTTTGAGAATGCAAAAAAAAAAAAAAAGTGAAAAAAATCCCACACCCTTAGGTTCACACAGTGAAAATTCTGAGGGAGGAAGGAGAGAGAGAGAGAGACAGAGACAGAGAGAGAAAGAGAGAATAAAAAGCAGCTAGAGAAACAATACAGATTGGTTTTAAAGGAGCAACAATTAACCTGGAACTAACTTTTCATAGAAGTAATTCAAGTCAGTAGACAATAAAGTGATATATTTGAAGTCGTGAAAGAGAGTAACATAGGACCTATACGTCTTTTTTTAAATTTTATTATTATTATACTTTAAGTTTTAGGGTACATGTGCACAACGTGCAGGTTTGTTACATATGTATACATGTGCCATGTTGGTGTGCTGCACCCATTAACTCGTCATTTAGCATTAGGTAAATGCTAATGCTAACCCTCTCCTAATGCTAACCCTCCCGCCTCCCCCAACCCCACAACAGTCCCCAGAGTGTGATGTTCCCCTTCCTGTGTCCATGTGTTCTCATTGTTCAATTCCCACCTATGAGTGAGAACATGCGGTGTTTGGTTTTTTGTCCTTGTGATAGTTTGCTGAGAATGATGGTTTCCAGCTTCATCCATGTTGCTACAAAGGACATGAACTCATCATTTTTTGTGGCTGCATAGTATTCCATGGTGTATATGTGCCACATTTTCTTAATCCAGTCTGTCATTGTTGGACATTTGGGTTGGTTCCAAGTCTTTGCTATTGTGAATAGTGCTGCAATAAACATACGTGTGCATGTGTCTTTATAGCAGCATTATTTATAATCCTTTGGGTATATAGCCAGTAATGGGATGGCTGGGTCAAATGGTATTTCTAGTTCTAGATCCCTGAGGAATCGCCACACTGACTTCCACAATGGGTGAACTAGTTTACAGTCCCACCAACAGTGTAAAAGTGTTCCTATTTCTCCACATCCTCTCCAGTACCTGTTGTTTCCTGACTTTTTAATGATTGCAATTCTTACTGGTATGAGATGGTATCTCATTGTGGTTTTGATTTGCATTTCTCTGATGGCCAGTGATGATGAGCATTTTTTCATGTGTCTTTTGGCTGCATAAATGTCTTCTTTTGAGAAGTGTCTGTTCATATCCTTCACCCACTTTTTGATGGGGTTGTTTGTTTTTTCTTGTAAATTTGTTTGAGTTCATTGTAGATTCTGTATATTAGCCCTTTATCAGATGAGTAGGTTGCAAAAATTTTCTCCCATTCTGTAGCTTGCCTGTTCACTCTGATGGTAGTTTCTTTTGCTGTGCAGAAGCTCTTTAGTTTAATTAGATCCCATTTGTCAATTTTGTCTTTTGTTGCCATTGCTTTTGGTGTTTTAGACATGAAGTCCTTGCCCATGCCTATGTGCTGAATGGTAATGCCTAGGTTTTCTTCTAGGGTTTTAATGGTTTTAGGTCTAACATGTAAGTCTTCAATCCATCTTGAATTAATTTTTGTATAAGGTGTAAGGAAGGGATCCAGTTTCAGCTTTCTACATATGGCTAGCCAGTTTTCCCAGCACCATTTATTAAATAGGGAATCCTTTCCCCATTGCTTGTTTTTGTCAGGTTTGTCAAAGATCAGATAGTTGTAGATATGTGGCATTATTTCTGAGGGCTCTGTTCTGTTCCATTGATCTATATCTCTGTTTTGGTACCAGTACCATGCTGTTTTGGTTACTGTAGCCTTGTAGTATAGTTTGAAGTCAGGTACCGTGATGCCTCCAGCTTTATTCTTTTGGCTTAGGATTGACTTGGCGATGCGGGCTCTTCTTTGGTTCCATATGAACTTTAAAGTAGTTTTTTCCAATTCTGTGAAGAAAGTCATTGGTAGCTTGATGGGGATGGCATTGAATCTATAAATTACCTTGGGCAGTATGGCCATTTTCACGATATTGATTCTTCCTACCCGTGAGCATGGAATGTTCTTCCATTTGTTTGTATCCTCTTCTATTTCATTGAGCAGTGGTTTGTAGTTCTCCTTGAAGAGGTCCTTAACATCCCTTGTAAGTTGGATTCCTAGGTATTTTATTCTCTTTGAAGCAATTGTGAATGGGAGTTCACTCATGATTTGGTTCTCTGTCTGTTATTGGTGTATAAGAATGCTTGTGATTTTTGCACATTGATTTTGTATCCTGAGACTTTGCTGAAGTTGCTTATCAACTTAAGGAAATTTTGGGCTGGGACGATGGGGTTTTCTAGATATACAATCATGTCATCTGCAAACAGGGACAATTTGACTTCCTCTTTTCCTAATTGAATGCCCTTTATTTCCTTCTCCTGCCTGATTGCCCTGGCCAGAACTTCCAACACTATGTTGAATAGGAGTGGTGATAGAGGGCATCCCTGTCTTGTGCCAGTTTTCAAAGGGAAGGCTTCCAGGTTTGTCCATTCAGTATGATATTGGCTGTGGGTTTGTCATAGATAGCTCTTATTATTGTGAATTACATCCCATCAATACCTAATTTATTGAGTTTTTAGCATGAAGGTTGTTGAATTTTGTCAAAGGCCTTTTCTGCATCTATTGAGATAATCATGTGGTTTTTGTCTTTGGTTCTGTTTATATGCTGGATTACGTTTATTGATTTTTGTATGTTGAACCAGCCTTGCATCCCAGGGATGAAGCCCACTTGATCATGGTGGATAAGCTTTTTGATGTGCTGCTGGATTTGGTTTGCCGGTATTTTATTGAGGATTTTTGCATCAATGTTCGTCAAGGATATTGGTCTAAAATTCCCTTTTTCTGTTGTGTCTCTGCCAGGCTTTGGTATCAGGATGATGCTGGCCTCATAAAATGAGTCAGGGAGGATTCCCTCTTTTTCTATTGATTGGAATAGTTTCAGAAGGAATGGTACCAGCTCCTCTTTGTACCTCTGGTAGAATTCAGCTGTGAATCCATCTGGTCCTGGAGTTTTTTTGGTTGGTAAGCTATTAATTGTTGCCTCAATTTCAGAGCCTGTTTTTTGTCTATTAAGAGATTCAGCTTCTTCCTAGTTTAGTCTTGGGAGGGTGTCTTGGGAGGGTGTCCTAGTTTAGTCTTGGGAGGGTCCAGGAATTTATCCATTTCTTCTAGATTTTCTAGTTTGTTTGCATAGAGGTGTTTATAGTACTCTCTGATGGTAGTTTTTATTTCTGTGTTATCGGTGGTGATATACCCTTTATCATTTTTTATTGCGTCTATTTGATTCTTCTCTCTTTTCTTCTTTATTATTCTTGCTAGTGGTCTATCAATTTTGTTGATCTTTTCAAAAAAACAGTTCCTGGATTCATTGATTTTTTGAAGGGTTTTTTGTGTCTCTATTTCCTTCAGTTCTGCTCTGATCTTAGTTATTTCTTGCCTTCTGCTAGCTTTTGAATGTGTTTGCTCTTGCTTCTCTAGTTCTTTTAATTGTGATGTTAGGGTGTCAATTTTGGATCTTTCCTGCTTTCTCTTGCGGGCATTTAGTGCTATAAATTTCCCTCTATACACTTTATTTAAAGAAAATATTACCTTACAATGAAGGTGAAATAAAAACAATATTAGAAAAGAAAAATGTAAAAAATGTATATTTACCAGTACTGTCATAAAGGAAATGCAAAATGATGTTCTTCAATCAGCAGGAAAATTATTCAAAATAAAAATCTGGAGTTACAGGCAAACTTTAGATGCAATGAAAATGGTAAGTATTGAGTACATGAAACGATAAAAATACCTTGTGAAAATTAAAAAATAGCATTAGAATAGATCACAAAGAACAGGAGGAGCTTGAACACATTTGAAGAGTATTAACGTCCAGGTTTGATCTTAAACAAGCTTAAAAGTATCAGATAACATTATCTACTGACATTGATAAATTAGCAATGCATATTTATAATTTCTAGGGAAACCACTAAAAGGTTAATAAGAGGTTCTATCACTAATAATCTAAGGAATGGGAAAATGAAATAATATAAAAATATTTAATTAATATGAAATCAGGCAAAAAAGGAGGTAGTGGAACATAAAAATCAAATAGTACAATAGTAGATTTATTTCAGTTTATTGGTGATTACGTTACATTAACTGGACCAAGTTGTCCAATTAGAAACAAAGTTCTCAAACTAAGTTAGAAAAAGTATACAGAAGATATACGATAAATCAAAGAACATAGAAAGATTGAAATAGACAGCTAGTACAAGTTAGAACATGAAAACATTAGCCCAAAGAACACTAGTGTAACTATAGCTAAAAAAGTAAACTTTAATGCAGAATGCATACCAAGACATTAGAATATATACCTCATTAAAGGAAAAACATAGTTCACTAGGAATATTTAAAATTTCAAATTTTTAATGCAGCCAATAATAAAACCTTGAAACATGACAGCACTGAAAAAAGTAAAAGAAAAATGTATAATTATAGTGGAAAGTTTATCACTCCTTACTAATGGTTATAGAAACAGAAAAAAAATAGTACAACTTTAATGAAAGATTTCAAGAACTTAACTAAAAGTTTGTCCTGACTGACTTATTTTTAGTTTGTGATCAGCAACTTCAGACTCCATAATGGCATTTATAAAATTCGAAATTATATTCAGACTATTCTTTGATCATGGTATATTTCTGCTAGACATAAACACATAATTTTGTATCTCTATCTCTATATCTATATATACACATATGAGTCACTAGATGTATAGAACTGAGATACTTGTATATAACCCATAAATAAAAGAAAAACCAGAATGAAAATTTGTAGAAAATTTATAGGCTTAAATTGATATCTTAGAAAAGAACATTTGAAAATCAATGATCTAAGCTTCCTTAAAAGGAGCAAATTAAGACAAAAGAAGTTATCTGCAAGGAAATAATATAAGATTACAGCTTAAGAATGCAAAAATAAAAAGGTGATCAACAAATCCTAGAATTGTACCTTTGACAGTCTTTGTAATTGATAAATGCCTTGTAAAACTTGAAGGAAGGGAGGAAGGATGGAAGGAAGGAAGGAAGGAAGGAGGGAGGGAGGGAGGGAAGGAAGGAAGGAGGGAAGGAGGGAGGAAAGGAGGGAGGGAAGGAGGGAGGAAAGGAAGGAAGGAAAGAAGAAAGGAAGGAGGGAAGGAAGCAAGGAAGGGCGGGAGGGAGGGACGGAGGGAGAGAGGGAGAGAGGGAAGGAAGGAAGGGAGACAGGGAGGGAAGGGAAGAAGGAAGGAATGAAGGAAGGAAGGAAGGGAGGGAGGGAGGAAGGAGGGAGGGAGGGAAAGAGGGAGAGAGGGAAAGAGGGAGAGAGGGAAGGAAGGAAGGGAGCGACGGAGGGAGAGAGGGAGAGAGGGAGGGAAGGAAGGGAGAGAGGGAGGGAAGGGAGGAAGGAAGGAATGAAGGAGGGAAGGAAGGAAGGGAGGGAGGGAGGAAGGAGGGAGGGAGGGAAAGAGGGAGAGAGGGAAGGAAGGAAGGGAGGGAGGGAGGAAGGAAGGGAGGGAGGGAGGGAGGAAGAAAGGGAAGGAAAGGAAGGGAGGCTATCTAATATAAGAAACTGAAAATTTAGAAGACACCAATAGAATATTATGAAAAATTTTACTCCACATTAAAAAATTTAGATGAAATGGACAGTCCTAGAAAAAATGCAGCTTGCTACTTTTGACACAGATGAAATAAAATAATCAAATATTACTATATTTATTGAAGAATTTAATATAAAATCTAAAACTTTTCTATAGAGGTAATTCCATTTTCAGATGATATGACCAATGAATTCAATCAAATATGTAGGGGAGAATTAATGCTGGTATTACATGACTCTTCCCAAGACTAGGAAAAATAGGAACAAATTTTGATAACATATTCTGTCAAGAGCGTTATCACTGGTAAAAATTATAGGCCAATTTAAATCATGAACACAGATGCAAAAATATAAAATATTAACCAAAACATGCAATGAAATATAAGAAGAAGAGCATATCATAATCAACTTGGGTTTATCTCCTAAATATAAATTTAGTTTAACATTTGAAAAATGACCCATGTTTTTTAGTACTATATTAAGTCATTTGATTTCAACATATACAACTCCCTTAACAAATTAAACACTTAGTCATGAAAAAGAATTTAGAAAACCAGAAATTGAAGAATATTTTCTTAATGCAATATTGAGTACGTACAATAGGTATGTAGCTAGCCTCATACTTTATGGTATGATGTTGAATTATTTTTATTTAAAATAAGAAAAAATTATACATGTTATCATCACTTCTATTCAACATCTTACTAGAGGTCCAACCCAATATAATAAAAACACCAATAAGAAAAAGTAATGTATATTGTAAAATAAGAAATAAAAGTGTCATTACAGACAGCATAATGATATGCCAGAAAATAGAAGTAAATCTCCAAATAAATTTTTAAAATGAAGAAGTGAGTTTGGGAATAATACTGAACATAAGCTCAGTGCTCAGCACACAAATATCAAAAGTATATGCACATACCAAGCACAAAAATAAAAATGAAATAAATTTAAAAACACCATTTTCTTTTTCTTTTTCTTAACTTTTATTTTAGATTTGAAGGTATATGTGGAGGTTTGTTACATGGGCAAATTGTGTGTCACAGGGGCTTGGTGTACAGATTATTTCATCACCCAAGTAATAAGCATTGTATTCGATAGGTAGCTTCTTGAGCCTCCTCCTCCTCCCAACCTCCACTCTCAAGTAATCCCTAATGTCTGCTGTTCCCACTCAGTGTTTAGTTCCCACTTACAAGTGAGAACATGCAGTATTTGATTTTCTGTTCCTATGTTAGTTGGCTTAGGATAATGGCCTCTAGCTCCATCCATATTGCCGCAAAGGACATGATCTCATTGTCCTATACTACTGTGTAGTATTCCATGGTATATATGTACCACATTTTCTTTATCCAGCCTACCATTGATGGTTATTCAAGTTGATTCCATGTCTTTGCTATTGTGAAATAGCAGGTAGTGCTGTGATGGACATACGCATACATGTGTCTTTATGGTAGAATGATTTATATTCCTTTGGGTATAAACCCAATAATGGGATAACTGGCTCAAATGGTAATCTTGTTCTAAGTTCTTAGAGAAATCTCCAAAAGCTTTCTACAGTGTGAACTAATTGATATTTCCACCAGAAGTATATAAGTGTTCCCTTTTCTCCACAACCTCACCAGTACTTTTTAGTCATGAAAGAACATCATTTCCAATAAATAGAATTGAACAAATTTTTAAAAACTAAACTAGTGAAAAATTAGCAAGAACCCTGCTCAGACAAGTGAAAGTATTATTGAGAGATAAATAATTATACAAGTCAGATAACAAAGAATACATATTATTCAATTTATTTAAGGATTTCTATGGCAAATTTGAACTTTAGAATCAGATGTCAGAGTAGTGGTTACCTTTCATGAGGAAGGAGATGGTTGGAGTGAAGATTGCACAGAAAGAACTATTTCTTGTGGTCTATTTCTTTTTTTGGATGAGCATTACATGCTTGATTTCTGTGATAATTTGTTGCATTATAGATTCATTTTATGCATTATATATATGTGTTATATTTCAAAATACAAACATTTAAAAATCCTAATCATTAATATAACAGAAATATTATTTTATATACAGTATACATTTATATATATTTATATACATTTGACCATTGGACAATGTTGGGGTTGGGGTGCCAATTCTCATGCAATTGACAATTTATGCATAACTTTTGACTCCTCAAACTTAACTACTATAGCCTACTATTGACTGGAAGCCTTACTGATAACATAAATGATTGATTAGCATGTAAATAGACTAGTATCTATGTGTATTTTATGCATTTGCTACATATCTACCTTAATAAATAAACATATTGATTAAAAATAATCTGTGTATAAGTGGACCCTTGTAGTTCAAACCTGTGTTGTTCAAGGGATATATATATATATATCCATACAGCAAAGGTTAAGAGAATCTTACCAATACAGAAAGAGTACAAATCCCTTTGCTTAGTTGCATGTTCTGCTTGTTTGTGTGTCTAGAAACCCAGAGTGAGGATCCCGTTCATGTCCTGATATGATTGTGCCAATGAGAATAAACTACCCACCTGGCAGCACCTTACCTCCTTTAGGCCAATAGAAGTTATTTAGAAAATTACCTCTTTCAGTGAATTAAATAAGCCAAATAGATTTGTATAGCCTTCCATGCCAAATGTAAGTGATAAAGCTGCCCCTATATTTAGGATTAGACAGTGAAGGCTGGCTTGTATGAAAAATTGAGTTTCATTTGCCAAAAAAGGAAATCAGTGCCAATTAAAAAAGCCAAATGCAGTGATGGTCACTGCTTTTCAAAGAAAGTGTGTATAGGGGCTGGAGGGGAATTCCCCCATTATTTATTTTTATGAATGCCTCTCAGCAGATGATGTCTATTCCTGCAGAGCTACACAAATATTATCTTGAGAACAAGTTTTTTAGAAAAATGAAAAAAATCTATTGCTTCTGTCAAAAATTATGCGCTGTATCAAGACAATAAAGCTACACAGGCTTTATTGTTCTATTGGCAGTCCATTGTTAAATTACCAGTCTGTTTGTAACTTAATGAGCATTCCACAAGCTCCTTCTGTTATACCTTTGCTACTGAGAGAAGTAAAATAGAGAACTGAGCAATCATTTGATTGAGTAACTGATCCCAAATTCCCACAATAAAGACAATTATAATTATTTTGCAAATTGACATAAACATAAAATACATACCTTTAGAACATAAAATTCAATTGCATCAATCAAACAAATATGTTCAGCATTTTTATTTCTGTGTTTATAATTTAAAAAGAAACTTAGAATCAAACAATGTAAGGATACCCACTTTCATCCCTCTATTTAATAGACTCCTCACCAGGGAAATTAGGCAACAAATAAATAAATGAAATACATTGAAATTGGAAAAATAAAACTAAAATTATTTCTTTTAAAAGACATGATCTTACACACAGAAAATCCTAAAAATGTGGCAAAAAACTAATAGGGCTCAGTTCTAATTTAAATTCAGCAATGTTGCAGAATACAAAATCAACACATGAAATTTAGCTGCATATCATTGTTCACTAATAATGAACAATCTGAAAAGGAAATATAAAAAACAATTTCATTTACTTAGAAATAAATGTAACCAAGCAGGCTAAAGACATGTACACTAAAAACTATAAAATGAAGCTGACAGAAATTAAAGAAGACATAAATAAATGGAAATCCATTTTCACTGATTAGAATAATGTTAAAATGTCAATACTACATAAAATGATCCATAGATTTAGTGAAAATCCCTATAAAAATTTCAATGATGTTTTTTGCAGAAATAGAAAAATACATCCTAAAGTTTACATGGAATCTCAAGGGACCTGAATAGCCAAAACAATCTTGAGAAAAAACACACTTGTAGGTCTTATGCTCCTTAATTTCAGAAGTTATTACAAAGCTACAGTAATCAAAACAGTGTGGTACAGGCATAAATACTAATTGGCAGTAATAGGCAGTCCAGAAATCAACCCCTGAATTCATAATCCAGTTATTTTTTACAGGTGTGCCAAAATTATTCGATGGGAAAAGAACAGTCTTTTCAACAATTTTGCTTGGGAAAATATATCTACATGCAAAAGTTGGATATTTATATTACACCATGTACAAAATTTAACTCAAAATGTATCAAAGACTTAAACATAAGAGCTAAAATATAAAACTCTTAGGAGAAAATATGGATAAAAGAATTCATGGCATTGAGTTTGGCAATGATTTTACAGGTATGACATAAAAAGTACAGATAACAAAAAAGAAGAAATAGATAAATTGGCCTTGATCAAAATCAAAAACTTTCATTCATCAAAGAACACAATTAATAGAGTGAAAAGTAAACTGCTATAATTTGAAGATGGTTTGTTCCCATCAAAACTCACGTTGATGCTTGTTCCCAAGTGAGACATTGTTGAGACATTGTGCCTTAAGATTAGATCGTTAAGAGAAGTTAATGTCTTTTTTCCAAGAGTAAATTCTTGCTCTCCTCAGACTGATTTAGTTACCCTGGCTGTTATAAAATGAGGCTGTCTCTCATGTCTGGTCTCTTAACAACACCTGCTTCCCCTTCTGTTTCTCTATATTTTCATACTGTACAAAGCCTTTACCAGAAGCTTCCAGATGCAGCTGTCCAGTCTTGAACTTCCCAGCCTAGAGAACCACGTGCTCAATAAACCTCTTTCCTTGGTATTCTGTTATGGCAACACAAAATGGAGTAATACAGAAATTGATACTGAGAAGAGGAACTATGTTATATAGATACCTGAAAATATAAAATTTCTAACTGGGTAATTGATAGTGACTGGAAGAATTTGGAGAAGCAGGCTAGAAAAATCCTGTATTGCAATGAAGACAACATTAAGGGCAACTTTGGTGAGGACTCCAAAGATGAGAAGACTAGGTAAAGTCTTGAACTTCTTAGAGACTGGTTAAATAGTCTGGCCAGAATGCTGATAGAAATATAAACACTAAAGGCCATTTTGATGAGTTGGCCTATGGAAATGATGGACATCTTACTGACACTAGAGTAAAGATCATTTTTGTTACATAGTAGCAAAGAACTTGGCTGCATTGTGTCTATGCCTTAGGGCTTTGTGGAAGACTGAATTTTTTTTTTTCTTTTTTTTTTTTTTTGAGACGTAGTCTCGCTCTGTCACCCAGGCTGGAGTGCAGTGGCACAATCTCAGCTCACTTTAAGCTCCGCCTCCCAGGTTCACGCCATTCTCCTGCCTCAGCCTCCCTAGTAGCTGGGACTCCAGGCACCTGCCACCACGCCTGGCTAATTTTTTTTTTTTTTTGTATTTTTAGTTGAGACAGGGTTTCACCGTGTTAGCCAGGATGGTCTTGATCTCCTGACCTTGTGATCCGCCTGCCTCGGCCTCCCAAAGTGCTGGGATTACAGGCGTGAGCCACTGCACCCAGCCGGAAGACTGAACTTAAGAGTGATAGAAGAGCGTATCTGGTAGGAGAAATTTCTAAGCAGCAAAATTCTCAGAATGGTGCATGTTTACTTCTACCTGCTTCCAGAGAGCTGCAAAAGAAAAGAGAAGAAGAAAAGAAAGATTTGGAAAATTTACATTTGGCCATGTGGTAGAATAAAAAAGCATTTTCAGAGAGAAAATCAATTATGTGGCCCAGGGACCACTTGCTAAGGAAATTAACATGTTTAAAATGGAGCCAGGTGCTAATCATCAAGACAATCAGAAAGAGGCCCTAAGGTCATCTCAGAGATCTTTAAGTCTGCAGCTTCCATTACAGACCCAGAGGCCTATGAGGGCACAATTGTTTTGGGGATTAAGTCCCTGATGCCCTTCACCTGCTTGCTGCCCATGGCTGCCTTAGAACCCTGCTTCTGCATTCTTGCACAGTGCCCCTTAGCCACACAGCCATCTTTCTGGTGGCCCCTGATGTGGTTCCACCCATGGCTCTGCCCCCTGCTTCAGAACATGCAAGTGGCAGATCTTGATGGGGTCCACATTGTGCTAATTCTGTAGGTATACAGAATGCTAGAGCAGCAGCTACAGTAGGATTCACTTACATTTCAAAGGATGTATGGACTGCCTGGAAGCCTGGACAGAAACCTGCTGCACAGGTAAAGACACCACAGAGATTCCTTACCAGTAGAATGCCTGTGGAGCCATTAAAATGGGGCTCAAAAACTGTCAAGTCACTAACATTGTGCAGTGCCTACCTGGAAAAGACGCAGGCACTGGTATGAAACTCCAAACCATGAGAGCAGCTGTGCAACCTGCACCAAGCAAAGCTAGAGAGGTGGGGTTGCCTGAGGCCTTGGGGCCCCATCTCCTACACCAGTGTGCTCAGGATGTAGGTCATGGAGTCAAAAAACATTATTCTCTAACCTTTAGATTTAATATCTTCCCTGATGGGCTTTTAGCTTGCTTTGGAAAAGTTACTCTGTTCTTCCTATTTCTCCCTTTTAGAATGAGAATGTGTACCCATTTCCTGCTCCACCATTGTGCCTTGGAAGCAGATAACTTGTTTTTGATTTTAGAGGCTTACAGCTGGAAGAAGTTTGACTTGAGTCTCAGATGAGACTTTGGATTTTGGACTTTTCTGTTGATGCAAAGTCGATGCTGAAATAAGTTAAGACTTTGGGGACTATTGTGATGGAATGATTGTATTTTGCATTGTAAGAAGGGAGTGTGTTTTGGGGAAGCCAGAGAGAGAATGTTGTGGTGTGAATATGGTTTGTCTCCACTGAAAGTCATGTCATGTGTTGGTACCCAAGGTAGTAGTGTTGGGAGGCAGTGCTGTTAAGATGTGATTAGGTCATTAAGAAGAATTAACGTTTTTTTGTTAGTTTTTTTTTTTTTCAGGCGCGCTTTCTTGCTCTCATGAGATGTGATTTGTTATCACACAGCAGATTGTTACACAGTGAGGCTGCCTCTCATGTTTGGTCTCTTTTTACATACGCCTATTTTCCCTTCTGCTTCTTCTCCATGTTGTAATGCAGCATGAGGCTTTCACCAGAAGCCATCCAGATGCAGCTACCCAATCTTGAAGTACCCTTATTGGAGAACCATAGGCTAAATAAAACTCTTTCCTTTACAAATAACACAGTCTCAGGTATTCTATTATAGTAACACAAAATGGACTAAGATAACAACCTACAGAAAGGGAGAAAATATTTGCAAATTATACATCTGGTAAGAGGTTAATATCCAGAATATATAAAGTACTCCTAGAACTCAATGGGGAAAAAAAAATCAACCCCGTTTAAAAAATGAGCAAATAACTACAGACTTTTCTCTAAAGAGATATACAAATGGACAATAAGTACACACAAAAGTGCTCAACATCACTAATAATTGTGGAAATGAAATCAAAACTACAATGGGCCAGGCGTGGTGGCTTACACCTGTAAACCCAGCACTTCAGGAGGTGAAGGCAGGCGGATCACCTGAGGTCAGGAGTTTGAACCAGCCTAACTAACATGGTGAAACCCCATCTCTACTAAAGACACAAAATTAGCTGGGTGTGGTGGTGCATGCCTGTAATCCCAGCTACTCAGTAGGCTGAGGCAGGAGAATTGCTTGAACCTGGGCGGCGGAGGTTGCAGTGAGCCGAGATAGCACCATTGCACTCCAGCCTCTGCAAAAAGAGAAAAATTCTGTCTAAAAAAAAAAAAAAAAAATACAATGAGATGTCACCTCACATCCATTAGAATTACTACTATCAAATAAACAGAAAATATTAAGTGCTGGCTAGGATGTAGAGAAATTGGTACCTTTTAAGCACTGGTGGTGGGAATGTAAAATGGTACAGCTACTATGAAAAATAATACAGCAGTTCCTCAAAAAATTAAAAATAGAATTACCATATGATCCAGCAATTCTACATCTGTGTATATATCTAAAAGAATTAAAAGCAGGATCTCAAAGAAATATTTGCACATACATGTTTATAGCAGCATAATGCATACTAGTCAAAAGGTGGAAGCTAGGCCAGTGTCTATTGATGCATGACTGAATAAACAAATGCGTTATTTTCATACAATGGAATATTATTCAGCCTAAAAAGGAAGGAAATTCTCATACATGCTAGCAACAACATAAATAAATCTTGAGGATATCATGCCATATGAAACAGCCACAGAAAAGACAAATACTATATGATTCCAATTACATGAGGTATACAGAGTACTCAAATTAAAAAAAGAACACAGAATGGTGGTTGCCAGTGGCTGGAGGAAGGGAGAAATGGGGGGTTGTCGTTTCATAAAAATACAGTTCCAGTTTTTCCAAATGAAAAAGTTCTAGAGATTGGGTGCACAACAATGTGAATGTATTTACTACTGAATTGTATATTTCAAAATGGTTAACATGATACATTTTATGTTACGTATCTTTTAATACAATTATAAATTGATTTTAACGAAATTAAGTTAACACAATTAAAACAAATCTTAGAAATGCAAAAATAAAATAAAATAAAAATAAACCTAGAGTTAAATTTTATTTTTATTTAAAAAGTAATTC
The DNA here is from genome assembly GCF_000001405.40 of Homo sapiens. Lineage (NCBI taxonomy): Eukaryota > Metazoa > Chordata > Mammalia > Primates > Hominidae > Homo > Homo sapiens. Next base: position 165,485,334 of record NC_000003.12, read on the forward strand.
AACTTTAACTTGTTTAATTTGTTTTGGGTATAATTTATTCCATTTACTAAATAAACAGAAATAATAAATTTATTTCTGTTTATTTAGAAACATATAAATGTTTGTATGGTTTATTAATAAATATGAACCAATGTGAGTATGGTTTATTAATTTGCAGACTATAAGAAAATTTTACTTCAGAAATTACGGAAAGTAAAATAATAAGAAAATATAGTTTCAGGTCAGGATTCCAAAGGCCTCAGTATATATTAACATTAAATATTCAAGAATCCCGTAAATGCTAAAAAGTGCTTCTAGTAATTACATGTACACATTTTTTCCCCAAAGAGATCTGTGTATTTTTCTTAGTTTTTACTACAATAATTAATCCAGTTGGGGAGAGAGTGAAGGGTTGAGGAGTTTGTAGCGATAGTAATACTGCTAAGAGGTCAAGCAGCCTTTAAATTACTCCAGATGATGCATCTAAGTCAAACAAAAAACTATGTAGGCAAAATTAAAAATAGATGAACAATTTCTTCTAGAGATTGTTTGAAACAATAACCATTAAAGTTTTAAACTATAAAGAAGCAGAATAACTTTAAATTTTACGAGCAAAAGAAAAACAAGCAAAACCTTTTGGTCCAAAGATATTTTGCCTTTACAAAACATCAAAACTTTCTGTAGTGTGTTGCCAGATGATTTTGCCCAAGTCTAGGCTACTTGTTCTGATGGTGTTTAATGTAAACTAGGCTAAACTACGATGTTCAGTAGGTTAGGTGTATTAATTGGACTTTTGACTTTGATATTTTCAACTTACGATGGATTTACTGTGACATAACCTCTTCTTAACTTGTGGAGTACCTTAAATGGAAAAAAAAATTAGGAATGAAATTTGCAGACATCTTTAACATTCAGGTGCTTTTATAGCTGGAATTTCCATCAAATACTTTGTTTCTCTGGTCCCTTGATATGTTAAGATGTATTTAGGATTTCATAGGAATTAATTATCTAAACCTAATTTTGGCTAATACCTTTGCTCACAAGTACTGTACTTCTTTGACTAATGGGTAAACTGCCAACACTTTCAAATTTGTTTCCCCAAGTCTTAACTTGGGTTTTCATGATTCCTTAATTAGTCATTTTACTCCAAAGATGAGAAGAAAAATTTGACTTTGGGAATGGGGTGGTGTTTTCAAAAGCATTTTAGGAAGTTGCCCATTGTTAGAAGCAGATACAAATGTGAAAATGCAGTAAATGACATGATCTAGAAATCAGAGTACTTGAGATCATTGATAGAGTGAGTCATCCCTGCTTTTAAATGAGGTAGATCTGAAACCTCCAAGTATCCATGATATTATTTTTTAGAGCAAGAGCTGCTGTGATAAAGGTAGTTCATCCCTTCTAAGAAAGATACAAAACCAAATGAAACTGGCACTAACAATACATTTGTTCTTACTCCAAAAGCTCTCTATTTGTATACCTGCAATCACATACTAATATAATTCTATACACACATCCTTTTCAAGCATAGAATTGGGTCAAATATTGTATTAAGAAACTGCACAGGAGATAGTTTCTTTAGTTTTTGTTTTGTTGTTTGAAAATAGTTTTTTACTACTATTAATTGTATGTTCCCTGAAATGAGTCCATCATATTGAAGAGCTGCTTATGACTTCAATAAGAGAGAGTTTACTGGAGCTATAGGAATGGAAAGTATTGAGCAATGTATGGTGTAGACAAGTAAAAAGAGTAAATGTAGAATATTCCTTTTAGAAGCTTATGCTGATGGAAGAAAGGAGGATAGGGCAATAATGGTTAGATGACAATATGGGGTGGCTTTTACAGTAAAAAGTTTATGATTTATAATTTTGGTAAAAAATTATCAGAAAATATTGGAGCAGGTATAATTGAGAAAGAATATTTTACAGAATATGAGACTATGTAATTTAAGAAGAGGTTTGCAATATAGGGTTAGACTGTGTAGTTTAACAAAAAATAAATATTCTGTGTTTGTCTCAATTTTCTGGCACAGAGTTTCTAAAACTCTTGGAATTTACTGTCTTTTTTTATTTTAATGGGATTCAGGAAGATTCCCTGGATAGCTTCAGGATGGGTTCTGGTCATCAAAAAGACTAAGACAAAAGGGTTTGGACTTTTAGCACAATACCCTAAGCTCCAGGGAGGGGAGAGGGACTGGAGGTTGAGTTAAATCACCAATGGCCAACGATTAATCAATTATGTTTATATAATGAAATCTTTATTTAAACAGGAAAACTGTAAATGACAGGAGCCTGGGAGCTTTGGGGTTGGTGAAAACATGCAAGTACTGGAAGGGCGATGTGTGCTGAACAGAAGCAGCACCTACAATCTCTCCCCCTGCCCCTATACCTCACCCTATGCATCTCATCCATTTGGCTATTCCTGAGTTGAAACGTTTATAATAAAAGAATAAACATAGATAATGTGTTTTTATGAATTCTGTGAGCTATTCTAGATAATTAATGAACATAAATGGAAATAGTGTGAATCCTCAAATTTGCAATTAGCTGAATTTGTAGGTAATGTTAGAATCAAATTGAATTGTTGAATGTCAAGTTGGTGCTAGAGAATTCAAGAATTGCTTGGTATGGAAAAGGCAAATATTTGGGGTCAGAAGTGGTGTTGAGAAACACTGTTTCCGACTGAAAGAAACTTCTTTCTTTGAAAATCAAGGCAAAGAAGTATAGTTGAGTATATATTTTTAGATATGGCATTTCATGCTCAGTGTTCCCCGTGTATATGTGTGTGTGTGTGTGCGCGCGTGTGCGTGTGTGAAAGAGAAGGCTAAATTATATGTTAAATATAAGTGCTGCAGGCTTTATAGATGTAAGTGCTGCCAAGGTCAGGAGATCGAGACCATCCTGGCTAACACGGCGAAACCCCGTCTCTACTAAAAATACAAAAAATTAGCCGGGCATGGTGGCAGGTGTCTGTAATCCCAGCTACTTGGGAGGCTGAGAGGATACGGTCAGAGATAGAGGAAAAGACTTTGAGCTACTGGGACAGTCAGAGATATAGGAAAAAGACTTTGAGCCTATGGGCCATTCCTAATAGCACACACATATTTTGATGTTTCTTCCATTAAAAAACTCATACTGATTTGATATTTTCTTCCAGTTCTCATTATATTTTCCCCATCTCTGTAAGCAACACTTCCTGAAAGTGTAGTTTTTTCTCCCTGTTTCCTGTTTATCTCTTACAATTCCCTCATGGGCTTACTTTAAGTGGGCTCTTATTCCAAAAGTATATCACAAATGTACATTCTAAGTTCTTAAATAATCTACCAAGCCCCAAAGATCTGGCTTTTTTTAAAGTTTTTTTGAGTCAAGGTCTCACCCTGCCACCCAGGCTAGAGAGCAGAGGCCAGATGCTAGCTCACTGCAGCCTCAAACTCCTTGACTCAAGCAATCCTCCTGCCTCAGCCTCCCAAAGTACTGGCATTACAGGTATGAGCCACCTTGCCTGGCCTGTTACTTCTTTGATGTTGTGCCCTTGTTCGGATTTATTTATCCTCAGCCACATTGCCCTTGTTTTTTTTTTTTTTTTTTTTTTTTTTTGAGACGGAGTCTCACTTTGTCACCCAGGCTGGAGTGCAGTGGTAAGATCTCGGCTCACTGCAAGCTCCGCCTCCCAGGTTCACTCCATTCACCTGCTCTCAGCCTCCTGAGTAGCTGGGATTACAGGCGCCTGCCACCTCACCTGGCTAATTTTTTGTAATTTTAGTAGAGACGGGGTTTCACCATGTTAGCCAGGCTGGTCTCGATCTCCTGACCTCGTGATCCGCCCGCCTTGGCCTCCCAAAGTGCTGGGATTACAGGCGTGAGCTACCGCGCCCGGCCCCACATTGCCCTTCTTAATGTTTCTCCCTGATGTAATTATTACACGTGGTATGACTTTCTCAGAACATCACATCTACCCCATGAATATATACACTTATTATGCACCCATAACAATTGAAAATAATAATTAAGTTAAAAAAAAAACAATCGAGCACGTTCTTGAATTAGGACTTCTATACTTGCTCCTCCCTCTTCCTGGAAAGTTATTCTCTCAGGTGTTCACATAATGTGATTTCCATTTTTTTCAGGCCTTTACTCATTTTCTCAGTGAGATCTTACCTGGTCACTCTATTTTAAATTGCCAGCATTATTTTCTCTTTAATCAGTTGATACAACATATATTTTACTTAATACTCCTTGTTTATTATTTTTTCAGCCAAAAACAGAAAGTAAATTCCATATTTTCTATCTGTAGAACAGTGCCTGGCACATAATTATCACTCAATACATTGTTGCTGACAAATACATAACGAATACAACCTCTTTCTTTTGCATGATCAGCATCTTCCTCTTTTCTAGATCATTATACAAACATTATTTTAATATTACTCATCTTTTTAAAAATCTATTATAAGCCTTTAACTTCCCATGGTTACCATTGATTTTCCCTGATCCTATAATAGCAAAACTTAATCTAAAATGTATATCTTTATAATTACTATTTCCTCTTCCTAACGTCTCTTCCGTGCCATATGTGACTCAAATCACCCTTCCAATTACACCTGTCCACTTGTCTGTTGTGACTTTTTTGTTGCCAAAGAATATTCACATCTTCATTCTCTTTGTATTCAAACCACAGAAGTATTCAATATAATTGAACGTTCCCTACTTCTTGACACACACTCTCCTGGCTTTTAAGATGACATATTTATACTTGCTGCCTCAGGTTTTGCTGGTTTGTACCAGTCTGTCTTCTGTATGCCTGATAGGCATAACCTAGTTTATAACCCTGTTTTTCACCTCCAAGGAGGTGTAGGAAAATGCATTTTCAGATTCCTTTTAATCAGAGGAGACTCATAGTTGGCACATTACAAAATTATAGAAATATGTTCAAATGTGTTAGAGGCCAAAATACACGTTCACCATATCTTCACAGATCTAATTTATTAGTAAAGATTATCTGCTTTACCTTCAAAATATATTTTATATCCCTCTGTCTCTTTATCTTTACTGCTTAGTTCAAGCTACCTTCGTCTTTTATGTGGAATATCGAAATAGCTTTGTGATCTTTTGTGGCCATATTCTATACATTTCCACACAGTCCTAGAATGGTCTTTTAAAAAGTACATCGGTATCAGCCAGAGTGGTGGCTTGTGCCTGTAATCCTAGCTACTGGGGAGGCTGAGGTGGGTGGATCACTTGAGGCAAGACCAGCACGGGCAACATAACAAGACCCCACTGCTAACAAAAATTAAAAATAGCTGGGCATGGTGAGGCATGACTATATTCTTAGCCACTTGGGAGGCTGAGGCAGGAGGATCACTGAAGCCTAGAAGTTGAGGCTGCAGTGAGCTATGATTGTGCCACTGCAGTCCAGCTTGAGTGACAGGGTGAGACGGTCTCTAAAATATATATAGATATAGATAGATATAAATAGGTATTCAACCACTCAGAATACACAGTAGCTTTCCATTGCACTTCTACTAAGTCTAAATCCTTACCATGATATACAAGGTTCTAGAAGATCTGGTTCTCTTAACTTTATATCAGTCTCGAGAAACTCCTATAATTTGCCTATCAAGGATTTTCATGCCTTAAATCTTTGCTTTATTCTTCCCGTTGCTGCAATATTCTACTCCTGACAATACCCCTATGAAAACATAGGCTAATTCCTTGTTATTCAGTTCTCATTTTAAAAGTACTTTCTCATATAAACCTTGCCTAATCAAAATAATTAGCCTCTCTTTCATCAGCCCATCATGCTATCCTATCACTCTGTTTTATTTTTTTCTTCATGAGACTTATATTGTTGTATTTTTATATTTTTCTGTTCTCCTCACTCTAGAATGAAAGCCAAGCATATTCCATCATTTCCTAAAACCAAGATAGAGCACATATGGGAACTTGTGAAATAAGGTAAATTTTTAGTTTTAATTCTAAGATAACATTTAATTGAGGAATGAAGTGAAAATTCTCCTTTCCTTTTTTTTTTTTTTTTGGAACATGGGTATGGTCAGCAGCCTCCAACATGACTCCTAAAGATCTCTACCTCTTAGCATTTATACTGTCATGTAATTCTTTCCCCTTAAGGGTGGTTGATTTAATGACTTGTTTCTAATAAACAAAATATTACAAAAGTGATGGGCTGTCATTTCTAATTAGGTTATGAAAGACTGTGGTCTGGTTTGGGTGCCTTCTCTTACATTCTCATTCACTTGTTGTGAGGGAATCAAGCTACAGTGTTTTAAGGTGCACACATGTCAAAGAACTGATGTTTTCAGCCGGGATCCAGCAAGGACCTGAGGTCATCCAAAAGGCATGTGAATGAGTTTGGAAGAAATCTTTCCCCAGTTGTGCTCTGAGATAATTGCGACACTGGCGTACAATTTCCTGAGAGATGTTGAGCCAGAACCACCACGCTGAGCAAAACAAGATTCCTGACCTGAGAGAACTGTGAGATGATAAATGTTTTGTTTTGAACCAAGGTATTTTAGAAAATTTATTACACAGCAATAGATAACAAATACATACAGTGGAAACATCTTCAGTATTGTAGACTTGAGTATGGTGGTTAGCAGGATATTTTCTGTCATCAGAAGTCAGCATAAGTAAAGGAAATTAACAATAGTTCAGAGAAGGCCATAAGATAGAAACTTGGTAAGGAAACACTGTACCTGTTCTACCTACTTCTAAGTTTTTCTTTATTTCCACCACTCTTTGATGCCATGGCAATAAATAATATATATACATACATATATATATATACACACACACACATATATATATATATACACACACACATACATATATATATATCTTTCAGGTTCTCTTTCTGCAGCCACTTACTAAGCTATAATGATAATAAAGGGACAAAAAGACTGGGAATTGAACTTCAGTCATAATGAAATGACTCCATAATTCAAAGACAAATAAACCCATAATTTCCTTTTTGGATTTAAAGAAGAAACATTTATCAAATAAACTGATAAACAATAATATACTTTTACGTAGCCTAAGATAAAAGCCATTTGTCTATATTAGGGTTCTGATAACAATACACAATTCTCACTCACAAAAAGATTTTGTCATGGGATCAGGAGTAACTGCAGGTGTTTATTTCCAGTCAGAATAACTGAAAAATTTCAACTGGACTTCCAATGTTTATATAAACCTGGTTGTTTCTACAGAAAAGTAAATAGTTTAATTACCATTTGCCACGATTCCTGTTTGGAAAGTTAGCTTTCTGAAAATATTGATAAGTGTATATTTCAGGGACATCAAATTATGAAACAGACAATTACATGACTTGTCAGTTCATTATGCTAGAAAGATTTAAAAGGTAAATTAGATTTTATAAGTCATACCAAATGTTCACACTGAAGGATTCAACACATCTTTAGAATACTTCAAGTATATTAGGAGAAAAAATGCAACTTTATTCTTGAGCTGATTCAGCAGAGTAGAAATAATTTTGACATTTGTAGTTTCTAGATGAGGCTTGATGTAAGAATAAAAATTCTTTCAGGAACTGTGTGTCTGTGATTTAAAAGTTTATGTTGAACAGTTTGAAAGTATGAAGACTACTTTTACAACCAAGAAAAGAAAATGAACTGAATTGAACTGAATGATTGAATCAACAAAATAGTAAACCTCTGCTCATATTATTAATATAGTCTTTCCTCTCATATTACTGGTAAGCCCATAAATAGCATCATATTATGCAATCCGAGAAACTTCCATGTCTAGGGTCAATACCAATTAAGATTGGGTGGCTCGTAGGGTGGAGGTGGTAGTCGTAGAGCTGACAGAATTTTGGTGTTAGCATTTGCTCATAGGCTGTTTTTTGACAACTTTTTAAAAAGCAGTTATTATGTGTCAAATATAATTTCCAGTTTAAATTAAAAATAAAGGCCTAGGATGTAATGGTAACCATGCAAGTATCTTGATTTTACATTTTTTATTTATTTTTATTTTAAAAAATAATTGTATAACATTTTATTGTGTGAAATATGTAAGTTGGGTTGGTTCACGTATTTTGTCATATATTGATTGACATTTAACTATATGTAGATTTATTAAATTGAGGATTATATTATAATTTACATTCTATAAGTAATATTTCAACTCAGTTGCTCTTTGTGATTAGTGAACAGAAAGTTTATATTTAATATTATAAATTGAAAACAATCTTTTATTGGCATAAAAATCTTAGGGTAAGCAAGGTAGGTAAAAATGTAAATATCAAGTTTGTCAATGTGAATTAGTTACTGTAAGTTATATAATGTTTAAAATATATTTTAAGACTAAAAAAATTGCATAAAAAGAAATAATCAATTTTTATATACTTCTTTCATGTACTTAAAAACATTTAGACTTTTGTTCAATGACAATGATTACAACTTTAAATATTTTCAGTATTAGGGTCTATGTAGAAGTTAACAATGTCATCATCTGTCATAAAATGAAGGAAATTCATCATGTTGTTATAGGACTAAAAATGTAACTTTCTGTACCATATTTTATTTTTTGCAATTCATACTTTGTTTATAATTGTGTTTGTGTTTTAATTTTTTTGGCATTTCTCATAATTAGTTTGTTTCTGGGGTAGATTGTTTTCTGTAGATCTGAGTTAAATTCATCATTTAGGAAGAGAATGTTACCTAGAAAGATTAAAGCAGCACTTTAAGCCATTGAGAGATACTGTAATAGTACTAAGACAAAATATTTTAAAAGACAAAAGTTTCTATAAAGTAAAATTGTACCTACAGTCAAGATAGAGTGAGAATTGTGCTTCCAGGAATTACTGCATAAACATTAGTTGAAAAGGATTTTCCTGTGGTTTAGCATTATTATATTACATGAAATATGAAGCTTTTACATTTTCTTTTGAGTCATCTGTCATTGGCCATGTTATGCCAAGAATTTGGGGATATTATCCTCTAAGGGTGTTAGTTGTTCCTTGGACCCACTTTTCTACCTTGTGGGACTCATTGAGTATCAAATCATTCTTGCAGATTTTTCTAATATAAAAAAATAAAATATCACTGCTTTTAAAGGCTTCAGGTTATTTCATTATCTTCCTTGAGTATCTGAAACATTCTAACCCATTTGAATGAGGATAATTTTGAACACGAGTCAGTCTTCTTTAAAAATCCACTTGTAATAATTTCTTATGATTCTCCACCGATTGAATCCAACATGTTTAATGAAAAACATTTAGTTCTAGAATTTTATGGGGTTGAACTGAACCACTCAGTATTGGATATATTTAGTAGAAAAAAGGACTTAAGAATATAATCCAGGAAAAATATGTCATTCAAAGACAGGACATGAAATTTATATGGTTATTAGAATTTGCTACCTACAGACAGTTTTCCCTCACAGAGTAGTAAAGACCTCCAGCAGGATTCTGACATGCTATTTTTATTTCCAACTGAAATGTCATAAATAATATTATTCACCTAAGAATTCTTGTATTCATATCTATTATTAAATTTAAAAACTGTATTTTTTTTAACCCCAGAGACAATAAAAGGATAGATACAGAGTTTTGGTTTTTAGAAGTCCATTATATAAATCTCATCCTTAATTTCATTTCCACAAATGCACATATTCAGTCCAGAATTCTGATAGGTTGATGAGTTTACAAGAAGGCCCCTCTATTAGAGATAACTTTAGTCATGTTTTTGATAGAATGTCACTAGGAAATTACTATAGTTACAGGTTTCACTGGCTGTAGGGATGCCTGTATATGTTATTTCTTTTTGTGTATGTGGTCCAAAAATTTTGCTTATATTGTTGACATTTTTCAGTTCTGCCATACCAATCCTTGATGCAACATTTCATAATTGGTTTTCATCTCTTTTTTAGGATGCCCTGCGGTTGTTTTCAGGACTGAAGACAACAGCTCCACGATGTATCTTTGCATAAGAATACACTTGTATAATAAGTTTTTTTTTTTAGAGAAATTGCATGTATCTGCCTTATAAACTTTTTCATTCATTCATTTTCTTTCTTCCTAATCTGTTCCATAAAGCAAATTTCTAACTTATTGTTAATCAAAATAATTATTGAAATAATTAGTACTTTCATATGATAAAGATTATTTTAATCTGCAGCTACAAAATATGTAACTCATTAATATTTAAACAATCACAATTTTCTATTAACATTATAGCATTTTATCTACTACTAGATCAGGAATTAGCTATTTTTTGTAAAATTTCTTTGTAAGGCAAAGCAATAGTATTGTATATACTTTCCTAAAGATTGTCAAGTTCAGTTTTGCTTAAATTTAACAGTACATGTGACACTTTCTGTTTGAAGAATAAGTTGGTTTTAAGTTTATACCAAACAAAAGCATCTCTTTTGTTTTGCAAAATCTGAAACTTTGATCTTTCTAGTTGTGACTTCTTGTAAATATGTTTTATATAAATATTCTATGAATTGGTTATTAACAAGGTAAAGAAAGATTGATATGTAAGCTGATTCTTAAACATTAATTTTCTGGAGATAAACTTTTTTAAAATTATGCTTTAAAAATATTTTAACACATGTTATCAAAAAGGAACTGAAATATCTTAGGCATAAAAGACATCTCTAGAGGTCATTATTCAGTTTCCAGAAAGTACTGAAACTATCTCTGACAGATTGATACGTTTTCTGCATTTATAGCTCTCTGGAGAGAGGTTCTGTATATTTAACAATTCTCACTGTGAGGGATATTTTAAGTATTTCAAATTTAAAGTGCTCATGTTTCAGATTCAGATTATTATTATCATCATCATTATTTTGGTTCTGGCTTCAGTAAAAATGTGAAAAACACTTTTCCATCTTCTGATAATATTTCATATTTATAAAATTATTATTAAGTTATAACTCAGCTTTTTCATTTATGCTTTAAATCCTTTTATTATCTCATCACAACCATCTTTGACTGTTTATCAGAAATGGTTCTCTTTTGTACATTGACCATTATTTTATAGATCACATTTAAGTTAATATAAATCATGCCTATAAATTTCAGCCTGCTTATTTTTTATAATCTAGTCAGATATCAGCTAGACATATTGTTACCAAGTTTGGAGAGCCTTGGGATAAGCTAGTTTCAAAACTGGCTGTTAGCATCCCTCAGTTGTGTTTTGGGAGCAAAGGACACCCTTAAAAAAGGGAGGCAGTTATATTTTGTGAGCATTATAAAATAAACTTAAATTCTCATAAAATTAGTGAATATGTTTGGAACAGTGTGAATTACGTGTGTGCTACATGAAGTATATAGAATTCATTTGAAGTAGGAAGTCTGGCCTTACCTCAAAAGACAGTCATTCAATTAAGCAGTTAAACATAAGCCACCATAAGAAGTTTTTTTGATACTTAGAGAGAGAAAGGCAACGTGTATTAAAATTCCGGGACCATTATCTCAGGAGTGCTGTGTTATTATTGACTGGGGGCCTGCTGGGAAGCTAGAAATATATCTAAAATGTGGCAGGTGGTTAATTAGAGCATATGAATAAATATATATAAATTTGTTAAAGCGTTCACTTATGGTAAACTATACCTCAATTAAAAAGAAAAAATATGCACAAAGAAAATAAATAATGAATGGAAATATGAGCCTCTAAAATCAAAGTTAGAAAAGCAGATATTCAAATTTGCAGAGCTGATTGTCAACTGGAATGATTGTGATAGAATCAAGTCTCACTAGCTCATTGGAAATAGGATTTGTTAAGGTAATGATGGTTAATGATTTTTCAGCATAATAACAGCCAAGTTAATGTATGGGTGCGTGTGTGTATCCATAGGTGTATGTTTTTACATGCGTATTTTTATTGTAAAATTAACATGTTTATTGAAAACAAGAAAGCACAGAAAATATCAACTTAAGTAAAGATCAACATAATTTAGTTCAAAATTATATTCAACAGTGCATTATTTCAATGTTTTTTATCTTAATCCATTTGCTTGAAAGCATTGATATATGCTCCAAATTTCCTCCCAGATTCCACTTGGGGAAATATTTAGTATATTGGATTATGAAATGATTTATCTTTACCTATATTATTAGTAAAGTTCTTAAAATTTTTAGCCTGTTACTGTCTATGTGATTAGTGATATTGTTCACATGACTAAAATTCAAAGATAAAATATGATTATATTTTATGGGTGAAAGTTAGGAAGCAAAATAGCATATTAATACATTTAACTAAAGTAGTATTCATTTGGATAATCAAGGTCAAACACTTCAAAAATAATAATTTTAAAGTTAATGCTTTCAAAAAATAAATTAGCAAAAATTATTTACTTTGTTTCTTAAAAAGAAGAATTATTGAAAAAAATTCTACCATCAAAAAATAGTTGTTCTATGCCTAGTTTATTTTAGTCACTGAATAAGACTGAGCCCTTGACCTCATATTTTTTCCTGCCTCACCATTAGCAGTTAGGTTTAGCTATGCAAACCTTTATTTATTCAACATATATAAAATACTTAGTATGCAGTAGATGTTATTCTAAGTGCTTGGTAGATATCAACACATTTAATAATCAAAACAACTCTAAGAGGTAATTAGTACTATTATCTCCATTTTATTACTGAGGAAACCAAAGCACAAAGAGAGAAAGAAAAGAAAGAGAAAAAAGGAAGAAAGAAAAGAAAGATGAAAGAAAGAAAGAGAAAGAAGAGAGAGGGAGAGAGAGAAAGAAAGAGAAGGAAAGAAAGAAGGAAGAAGAAAGAAAGAAAGAAAGAAAGAAAGAAAGAAAGAAAGAAAGAAAGAAAGAAAGAAAGAAAGAAAGAAAGAAAAAAGGAAGGAAGGAAAAGAAACACATGGAAAGTGGTATGTAGACCTGCCATTTCAATCTATACCTTCTGCCTCTGTGCTTCTATACCTCCTGAGTTTAATATATACTTCTTTATTTAAACAGTTTTAATATATAAATGCTAATTTTTCTATGATATAATTTTATAATAAATAAATAAAATTAGCTTGCTATCAAAATATCCCAGTTCATAATTTTATAACTTCACCTCTAGACCATGAGTAACCCTCAACCTACCATCTCCTCTTTTTGGACATCTTTGGTATTTGTATCCCTGTTTCTTGGTCTCTAAATATCTCTTCTTTTATTCATGTGTTACCTTTCCTAATGACAGAACCCTTTTCTTAAAAAAAGAATTATGAGTTAGTGTAATGTATAAATAGAGACATTAGATGAAGGACAAAATAATATTCTCCAAAAAGTTATTTGAGGTGGCTTAGTGAAGTTGAAAAAGCATAGTCTTTGGTATCACATAGACATAAATGTACCTTTGGGCAAATCTATAAACCTCCCTAAACCAGCTTTTACAAACAAAATTGTGTTCATTATAGGAATTAAAGGTATCAATTTCACAAAATCACGGGCAGTAAATTGATAGACCTCAGAACCTAAGGCACGGGTCTGAGGAAACGAAAGCACAAAGAAACAGAGAGAGAGAGGGAGAGAGACGAAGGAAAAAGAAAGAACCAAAGAAGGAAAGGAAAGGAAAGGAAAGGAAAGGAAAGGAAAGGAAAGGAAAGGAAAGGAAAGGAAAGGAAAGGAAAGGAAAGGAAAGGAAAGGAAAGGAAAGGAAAGGAAAGGAAAGGAAAGGAAAGGAAAGGAAAGGAAAGGAGAAAAGAAAAAAGAAAAGAAGGGAGGGAGGAAGGGAGGGAAGAAAGGAAGGAATGATTAGAGGAAACTCAGAGGTTATTCTCTCTGTATCTCTAGTTTCCATTTTATTGATTCTGCTTTCTCCAGACAGGCTCCCTTTGTATATCACCTTGCATGGTAAAGTGCAGAGAGCTCCATCAGAGAAATGCAGTTAAAATCCAGTAGATACCACCGTACACCTGAAAGACTTGTGAACAAACAGATGACAGAAAAACAAAACAAAGCAAAACAGAACCTGAGAATTTGAATTGCTGGTGAGGATATTGAGCAAGTGGAATTCCTATACTTTGCTGGAGGGAATGGAAAATAGTACAGGCAATTTGGAAAAGAGTTAGACTGTTGTATATAAAATTAAATACATACTTACCTTACAAAGTAGGAATCTCATTCCTAGATGTCTTCCTAAGAAAATTGCAAACTTTATGTTCAAACAAAAACGAATGTAAACATTCACCTACAGGTGAATGGATAAATACATTGAGATAAATCTATGCAATAATACATATTACTCAACAATGAAAAGGAATTCACTACTGATATGTGAAACATGGTAGACTGAGTAATGCCTTCCCTTCTTTCCAAAGATGTCCATGTCCTAATCCCTAGAACCTGTGATGTTACTTTATCTGGAAAATTAAACTTTGTAGATGTGATTAAATTAATGATTTTTAGCTGGGTACATCATCTTGGATTATCTGGTGGGCCTGATGTAATCACAGGGGTTCTTATAAGAGGGAGGCAGGAAATCAGAGAGAGGAAAAAAGGTGTGGAGAAATATGTGACAACAGAAACAATGATAAAATGATTAAAATGACACAAACAGGAGCCAAGGAATGCTATAAGCATCTGAAATCTGAAGGCAGCAGGTAATGGATACTCCCCTGGAGCCTGTAGAAGAAACCAGCCTCCTGACACCTTGATTTCAGCAAAAGTATTTTAAATTTCTCACCTAGAAGTGTAAAAAAATATATAAATAAATTTGTGTTGTTTTATGCCAGTAATTTTGTGATATTTTGTTACGACAACAATAGGAAATTAATATACCCAGCAATGCAGATGAATCTCCAAAGCATCATGCTAAGTGAAAGAGTACTTGTTACTGGATAAAATTAAATTGTGTGTTGTATTTTGCGTATGCACATACGAGTACTCATTCTGATAAAATCTAATCCAAGTGAAAAAGTAAAATATCCACCATATTTTTTCCCCTCAACTATGATTATCCCTGCCTTCTACTTTTATTTTAAACTTCATTTCCAAAATTTATGTACCAATTTTTCATTCTGCAGTTGAATGTTGTATTGAATCTTGTACTAAGAGAATGTCACCCATATTCGGGGTTTATTTTATTCTCTTTCCCTCTTTCTGCTCAGACTTCTTTAAACATCTTTCTTCTCTAGTAATTTTTTTTTCCCAATTGTCCTAGTGTGTTTTTTCAATTTGCTGATGTTCAAGGAAAACCCATTGAGGTTTAAAAATATTATGTTGGTAATTTTTTTTCTAAAAATAAGAAACAGATTTATACTTAAAATATTTACTATAAGGATTGACACTGGTGCTCTTTCTTGGGCCATTTATCGGATAATCAAGCATCATGACCTTAGGTAACAAGCAAGGTAGCCTGCCAGAGTATTACACAATCCAAAAGAGTTGATTTGCTTTCATCAGATTTTGCCCATTAAAGAGATTTATAGATTTCATAATCTTAAATAGCACAAAAAATTCCAATACTTAGTAATGAGATAGATCAAGACCATGACAGTCATCTGAACACATAGATGTTTGCTGCAAAAAATGTATCAATTTTTTTTTTTTTGAGACGGAATCTTGCTCTGTCACCCAGGCTGGAGTGCAGTGGCGCGATCTCGGCTCACTGCAAGCTCCACCTCCAGGGTTCACACCATTCTACTGCCTCAGCCTCCCAAGTATCTGGGACTACAGGCACCCGCCACCACGCCTGGCTAATTTTTTGTATTTTTAGTAGAGACAGGGTTTCACCATGTTAGCCAGGATGGTCTCGATCTCCTGACCTCGTGATCCACTCGCCTCAGCCTCCCCAAGTGCTGGGATTACAGGCGTGAGCCACCGTGCCCGGCCCCAAATTTTTTTTTTTCTTTTTTTGAGTTTACAGACAAGATGCTAATTTACAAATGAGAGTGTTTCCTACCTGCTTATCTTTCTATTACAGTAAGTGTTTTATTTTGTTGTATAATAAATAGAATATTTTTGACAAAAAGTAAACACAACCAGTCTCTTCAAAGTATAAGCGAAGTTTTGACAGTGAGTTCAGAAGGAAGGATTTGTTGAAAAAAAGTTGTATTATACAGAATTTCAAATACATAAGTCTAGAAACTTTTCTAATACTTTGTAATTTTGTGGAAGAAATTCAAGCTTGTCACTTATTAAAATGTACACAAAGTTAAACTTAAAAAGCAAACAAACTAACCTTAGTATTTGAGATTTCCTAAATTGTTTTAAAATAATCTAAAAGAAAATGTTAAGTGGGCTTTTAAAATATACTACATAAAAATATTTAACCCATTACTATGCAAGAACAACTGACTGAAATAAATGAGGATTTAAATTTTCTAGTCAAATATCCGTAGATATTTGTATAGTTATTGGTTGAGATTTAGAAAAAGTAGCGTGATCCTTTAAAGTTTCCCTCTTTATGAAGCTCTAAAATAGATTTTGTACATTTTCAAAGTTTAAAAATAATTATTTAGAAATTTCTAAATTATCTTAAATACCTTACAACAACAACAAATCTAAAAGAATTTCAGAAAGACACCAAGAATAATTAATGCCTCTAGGTATTCTTAGTTTCTACTTTGGAAACGTCACTTTGATGGTCTTAGTCTATTCTTTTATTACTACTTATGGGGGTTTTTTTGTATTTATAAACCACACTATTACAAAATTGTATATTACTTTATAAACCCTTCAATATACATGGCACTAGGCTAATATATGATGTAAATTATCACTAAATAATCTAGCTTTCTTATGAGATTTATATGTAAACCTTATATCTTTTTTACTCTAACAGTTCCTAGAGTGGACAAACAGTTTAGAAAAATAGAAATAGTTTTAGAAAAATAGAAAATTTTCACCTGGGTGCAGTTGGTCATGCCTGTAAACCCAGCAGTTTGGGAGGCTGAGGTGGGAGATGATTTGAGCCCAGGAGTTCAAGAACAGCCTGAGCAACATACTGAGACGCTGTTTCTAAAAACAAGACAAAACAAACAACAAAAGAATTAGCCGGGCATTGTGGCACACATCTGTAATCCCATCTACTTGGGAGGCTGCGGTGAGATGATTGCTTGAGCAGTGAGGTTGCAGTGAGCCGAGATTGCACCACTGCACTCCAGCCTGAGTGACAGAGCAAAACCTTGTCTCAAAAATAAATTAAAAAAAAAAAAAAAAAAAAAAGGAAAATAGAAGATATTGGAAAGCCAATTAGGATGAAAAGACTTGTTTATATTTCTCCAATATTTCTCCCCCTTTTGGGGGTATATTGTTTTTCTTTCAGTTATAAACTCTTCTGGGGAATCTTATACTGCTGAATTAATCTGTAGTATGTTTGTTTGTAGGGAGTGATAAAGAAGTAGGAATTCAATCAGGGTTATATCAATGCATTTTATGAAATGACTACTATTTAAAAAGAGGATTAGCCAAGGATTTTCTCCTGAAAATAGCTAGAAATTTGTCTAATTCATAGTGGATGACTTATTATAGATAGTGTCTATCTCCTTGTTCTCAAACACTGACATTCTGTTTGGCTTGGTAACCAGCTCCTCTTTCTATTTGTGTTTAGTTTCAGTAATTGTGCTTGTATCTTCTTGTAAAACAAATCTCATTTGATTACTAGACCAAATCAGCCTATTTGTGTACAGAACCCCAAGGGACTAGCATTTAATCCCTTGAGTACTTAACATTCTTGTGAGTCAGGAGCAAAGCTAAAGTAAATTGATGATCAGAGGCACCAATGCCTAAATTCGTGGGTAGAGCTGACAGATACACTCTTCGTTCTATTAAAAGCTTGTAGACGTATTTTTTCCCCAATAACCTCCAAGAGGGAACAAATTTAAAACACCAATAGAAGCATTTTGAGCCATTAGAAAGAATGAATTTATAGTCTGAATTAATTCTTAAAAATTATAAATTTAAAGGAATGAAATTTCTACTTACTTTGCTTATTGTGATACAAAAAGACAGTATGGTTGTCTCTGTGGCCTCTTCACTGCACAGTCTCATTTGTGTGCTTTTGATTTTTCTTTCTCACATTCTTCAGCTATTGTCTGTAACAGTACAAGTTGTCTTATTAGCAAATCTTCATTTCTAGTTTTATATTGTGCTTGGATTTTTCTGTAAGTCTACATTCATATTTATTCAATCTGTTTTCTCTCTTGAATTAGCAAAAAAGTCAGAACTGCTGATGACTGAATAGAAACAGCATTGTAGAGCTGGCATTTACTACTCATAAGGAAAGGAACCAAAGTAAACACTGGCCATAAATTCAAATAGGCCAAAGTAAGAAAAAACAAAGCCAATATAAGCCAGTCAGAGGCAATGTCAGGATAGTAGGAAATCTGTGTGTGGGAAGAGCTAAAATAGATGAAAAGAGGTAAGTTTGGAAGCATTCCATGAGCATACAGGTAGTTGAGTCTGGAATAATTTTATGCCATATCTATAAGCAATGTTTGCTGTAATGAAACCAGTTCAGGGAAATTTAATATTTATTTTAAATTGGCTTTTATAATACTATTGAGAATTATTTTTTAAAATCAGGTTGGAAGTCAAAGACGGTTCTTTTTGTTTATATTTTTAAATGATGTACAATCATTAATATGGTAATATATAACATGCTGTTACCTGCTTCAGCTATTTCCCAGAAGTACACACAGGTGTTTAGTGGTAGGGCTATCTCCTCTTCACAGTTAATTGAATTGCAGTAGCTTTGTGCAATTCCAAATGCTCCTTTGTTCTCTTGGGATTGATTTGTTGCGGCATTGCTAGGTGGATATAAAAATAGCCTCTTGTCTTTCCGATTTTAAATGTCTGTGGGCTTTCCCTTCTACCGTTTAGTAACTAATGTCTCAGGGTAGTGTTAACTGTAATTTCAAACCACAGGAATATACTGGTTAATGCCATAGGGGCTGCATTCTTTTCCAGCTCTCCTACCCAGAATTTGGGGTTTATGTGATTCTACTTAGAATTCCCGCATCTATGCCTCAGTCCTGAATCTCCTGAACTAGATCTTCTTAGGGCTCTGTATTTGGCTGGTAATTAGATTTTTATGCTTATACCAGTTTAACGTTAGGACAGCCAACTGCTTTCCCAAGGGTCTCGGCTTGTCTGATTTTCTATTGTATTAACTAGTACTATGGCAATGACAAATGGCTGAATTCCCAAATGAACTAGCATAAGCAAAATTAAAGAGAAGTAGTGGTTTCCATAGCTGGAGCTTTCACCCACACCCCTGAACCCCACTTCTACCTTCCCAGGTTTTCATTTTTCTCTGTAGTTCTTTGGTTACATCTCGCAGATAGGGTTTCTTTACTTTGAGAGAAAGTTGAGTATTGTGAGCATCAAATTCAAGTTTGCCTATTCAGAATCTTAGGAGGAAGCAGAAGAAAGCTGCTCTCCCCCAGCACCTAAAAATTGATTCCAGTAGAGGACTGTGGCTCCTAGGTCATGTGATCACAGATGGGCTATTTACTGAATCTGAAAAGTCTAACTCATGTAAACATTCCTGTTGTAACAAGATAAGACAGTGCTGATATTAGAAAATGGATATGGGAGAACTTTTCAAGCAAATAAAAACCAGTATACTTATCTTTCCCTAGAACATTTTTTTCTTTTTAAATTTCATTATTGAATAACCTATTCCCCTAGGTTTCATCCTTTTTCTACCTCTGCTTAAGTGGCTGGTCATAATGTACCAATCCTTTTCTGGGCGCTAAATCAATAATCAGAGAACTGCATCTAGCATGTCACTGAAAAATTAGTAGACTGAAAATTTTAACACCTGAGCCCTAGTACCAATTCATTAGAAACTCAGTGTAAGACCTTGGACTAGTCACTTGAGCTGTTTATGAGTCAGTTTTTTCACCTTTAAAATAGTGGTAATAAAGTTACTACCCTTAGGGTCAATTTGAGGGCTAACTTAGATAATATATATTTATCCTTTAGACTAGTTCTTGACATATATAGTATAATTACATAAGTGTTAGTTATAATAATATTGTAATGATTAATATCCATAGGACTATGTTTTCATATCTGTAAAATGAGGGATATACTTTAGATGAGAGTCTTAGAAAAGCCTATATGGCTCTATTAGTCAATTTTCACACTGCTATAAAGATCTTCCCTGAGACTGGATAACTTATAAAGAGAAGAGGTTTAATTTACTCACAGTTATGCATGGCTGGGGATGCCTCAGGAAAGTTACAATTATGGTGGAAGGGGAAGAAGGCATGTCTTACATGGTAGCAGGCAAGAGAGAGAGTGTGTGAAGGAGGAACTCTCAAACACTTATAAAACCATCAGATCTCATGAGAACTCACTATCATGAAAACAGTATGCGGGAACTGCCCCCATGATCCAATCACTTCCCACCAGGGCCCTTCCTCAACATGTGGGGATTATGGAGATTACAATTCAAGATGAGATTTTGGTGAGGACACAGAGCCAAACCATATCATTCCACCTGGCCCCTTCCAAATCTCACATTCTTTTTACATTTGAAAACCAATCATGCCTTCTCAACAGTCCCTCAAAGTCATAACTTATTCCAGCACTAACCCAAAAGTCCAAGTCCAAAGTTTCATCTGATATAAGGCAAGTCCCTTCCACCTAGGAGCCCATAAAATCTAAAGCAAATAAGTTACTTCCTAGATACAATGTGAGTACAGGAATGGGGAAAATGCTCCCATTCCAAATGGGAGAAACTGGCCAAAACAAAGGGACCACAGGTCCCAGGAGGCCTAAAATCTAGCAGGTAGTCATTAAATTTTAAAGCTCTGAAATAATCTCCTTTGACTCTATGTCTCACATCCAGGGCACACTGATACAAGAGGTGGGCTTCCACAGCCGTGGGCAGCTCTATCCCTGTGGCTTTGCAGGGCACACAACCCCTTCCCCCCTGGCTGCTTTCATGTTCAGTGTTTAGTGTCTGTGACTTCCCCAGGTGCAAAATCCAAGCTGTTAGTGGATCTACCATTCTGGGGTCTGGTGGGTGGTGGCCCTCTTCTCACAGCTCCACTAGGCAGTGCCCCAGTGGGGACTCTGTGTGGGGGCTCAAACCCCACATTTCTCTTCCAGACTGCCCTAGCAGAGCCTCTCCATGAGGGCTCTCTCCCTGCAGTAGATTTCAACCTGGACATCCAGGCATTGCCATAGATCCTCTGAAGTCTTGACTTCTGTGCCCCTCTAGGCTCAACACAACATGAAAGCCTCCAAGGCTTGGGGCTTGAACCTTCTGAAACAATGGCCCAAGCTGTACCTTGGCCCATTTTAGCCATGGCTTGAGCTGGAGTGGCTGGGATGCAGAGTACCAAGTCCTGAGGCAGCACACAGCAGCAGGGCCCTGAGCCTGACCCATGAAACCATTTTTTCCCCTAGGCCTCTTGGCCTGTGATGGGAGGGGCTGCCATCAAGCTCTCTGACATGGCCTAGAGACATTTTCCCCATTTTCCTGGTGATTAACATTTGGTTCCTCATTATTTATGTACATTTCTGCAGCTGGCTTCAATTTCTTTTCTGAAAACAAGTTTTTCTTTTCTATCACATCATCAGACTGCAAATTTTCTGAACTTTTATGCTCTGCTTCCCTTTTAAACATAAGTTCCAATTTCTGATAATCTCTTTCAAGTTAAAATGTCACAGATCTCTAGGAGAGGGACAAAATGCTGCCAGTCTCTTTGCTAAAGCATAGCAAGAGTGACCTTTGCTCCAGTTCCCAAGAAGTTCCTTATTTCCGTCTGAAATCACCTCAGCCTGGACTTCATTGTCCACATCATTATCAGCATTTGGTGAAAACTATTCAACAAGTCCCTAAGAATTTTCAAACTTTCCCACATCTGTCTTCTGTGCCTCTCAAACTGTTCCAACCTCTGACTGTTACCCATTTCCAAAGTAACTTGCACATTTTCAGGTTATCTTTATAGCACTGCCCCACTCCTGGTACCAATTTCCTGTGTTAATCTTTTTTCGCACTGCTATAAAGAACTTCCCTGAGACTGCTGTATGTGTCAGCAGTAATTTATTTAAAAAGGAGATTTAATTGACTCACAGTTCCACATGGCTGGGGAGGCCTCAGAAAACTTATAATCATAGCAGAAGGGGAAGCAGGCACATTTTACACAGTGACAGGCAAGAGAGAGTATGTGAAGGAGGAACTGTCAAACATTTATAAAACCATCAGATCCCATGAGAACTCACTCACTGCCATGAGAACAGCTTGGGGGAAACCGTCCCTATGATCTACTTACCTCCTACCATGTCTCCTAGATATATAAATAGTTCATGGAACAGAAATTTAATGGACTCGCAGTTCCACATGGCTGGGGAGGCCTCACAGTCATGGCAGAAGACAAAAAAAACATGTCTTACATGGCAGCAGGCAAGAAAAGAATGAGAGTGAAGTGAAAGGGGTTTCCCGTTACATAACCCTCTTATCTCATGAGACTCATTCACTATCATGCTAACAGTATGGAGGAAACCACCCCCATGATTAAATTATCTCCCACTGGGTTCCTCCTACAACACATGAGAATTATAGGAGCTATGATTCGAGATGAGATTTGGGTGGGAACACAGCCAAACCATATCAGTAATTCAAGAAATTCTTACTAGATACTGCAAGTACTGCAAGTTCTTTTTGTCAGTCAAATACATCAACACATCAATTTTGATTATTGAGAATATAGTTATTTAACTATAATGAGATACCGTTTCACCTAGGTCAAATGACTAACATTAAAAATGTTGACATCAAATTTTGCATATAGAATGTCTTGAAGTGTCATATATTGTTGGCAGACATTTAAATGAATTAATTTTTTTTTTGCTGTTTTGTATTTCCTTTTAACCATATGTGTAAGTTATGGCCTAGCAATTTCAGTCCTATTTATGTACCTGAGATAAATGTAAATGTATGTGTACAAGAAGACACGTACCAAAAGGTTCACAGAGGCTTTTCTTCATTATAGCCCCAAACTGGCAACAACCTAAATGTCTGTCAACTGATAAATAGATTTTTTTTTTGAGATGGAGTCTTGCTCTATTGCCCAGGCTGGAGTGCAGTGGCACGATCTCAGCTCACTGCAAGCTTCACCCCTGGGTTCACGCCATTCTCCTGCCTCAGCCTCCCAAGTAGCTGGAACTGCAGGCACCCGCCACCATGCCTGGCTATTTTTTTTTTTTTTTTTGTATTTTTAGTAGAGATGGGGTTTCACCGTGTTAGCCAGGATGGTCTCGATCTCCTGACCTCGTGATCCACTCGCTTTGGCTTCCCAAAGTGCTAGGATTACAGGCATAAGCCACAGCGCCCAGCCAATTTTTTAAAATGCCACGTATCCTTACAATGAAATACTATTCAGTAATAAAAAGGAATGATTTAATATATAGCATAACCTGTAAGAATCTCAGAAACCTTATGTTAAATGAAAGAAGCCATTAACCAAAAATTGCATATTGCATAGTGCCATTACATGAAGTTCAAGAAGAGGCAAAACACATCTGTAATAATAGAAAGGAGAAAAGTGGTTACCTAGGAGTGTGGCGATTGACTGGAAGAGGGCCTGAGTGAACTCTCTGGAATGACAAAAATTTTCTTTTTCTTCATTGGGATAGTGGTTTCACAGGTATATACATTGAATTGTGTACAAGATCTATTCATTTAACTGTAGGTAAAATAAATTTGTGAATTTACATACATTTGTCTTATAATTGCATGATAATTAGCAAAAACATTCCTAATTTTTAATGAAGCCACCCTATTATTGTAATGGTTAATTTTGTGTATCAGCTTAACTGAGCCATGGAGGTGGTCATTCAGTTGGCCAAACATTATTCTGTATGTGTCAGCAGGGGTGTTCCTTGATAAGATTAATATTTGAGTGAGTAGACTGAGTTAAGCAGATTGCCTTCCCTAATTTGGGTGGGCCTCATCCAACCAACTGAAGAACTAATAGAACAAAATGTTTGAGTGAGAAGAAACTCCTACTGCCTGATTGTTTTAGCTGGGACATTGATCTTTTCTGGCCTTTGAACTCAGACTCAGAGGTTGATTTTGTTTAATAATCAAATTTTGATCGGTTATACAACATTAATAGCATGAAACAGATTGTATTTCATATCTTCATTTCAGAAAATGTAGCTACTTAGTCTCATCCCCTGTCACTCACCCTGTGTTCTGGAGGCATTAACTCACTTTGCAAGCTAATTTCCTCTGCATAACTCTCTTTTACCTTGCTTTAAGTAATTTATTCTTAGAAGTAAGCCTCATTTATTTAATTAACTCTCAGCTACACAATTCTCAACATCATTTTCTTAAGCATTATCATCAATAACTTCATCATTAGCAGAGAGACAGTTCAGATAAGTGGTTAATATCATAGACTTTGCATCCAAAATTACTAGCTGTTTGACCTTAGTTAACCCCTTTATATCTCCGTTTAAATCACTGCAGAAATAGCACCTATCACATATTGTTGTCATCATAAAATGACTTAACAGATTTCAAATACCTAAAAAAGTACTGAACATAACAAATAAAGTGACATAATCATTATAAAAAATAAAACTTTGTATATTGATACATTGTCTTCAGTACCATCACTAAGCGCAGGCTTCTGCTATAGGCTTTCAAGACTCAACAGGAAAAAAAGAAAAAGATAAGAGGCAAACTTTTTTAATTTATAAAACTTAACATTCACACATAAACCATAAGATTAATTCAAAATTAATATTGTAAAAAGTATATTGCATATGAAGTAAAATATAAAGTGTTGAAAAATATCAATTTAGTATTACCTTAAATTTACACATTCTCTTAGAGCCTAATAATTTAGATCAAATAGAGATGTATCTAAAAATGTCAAGTTTTTTGTTGTTATAAATCTAATTTGCCTGGCACTCAATTAGTATTCTTTCAGCTATGTTTTTTAAAAAATACAAGAACTAAACAGTAGAGTGAAGATTAGTTAAATTGTGGAAGAGTAGAATTTCTTTCAGATCATTAGAAGCAGAAATATGATTAAAATGAAGGAATAATTGTCTAATCTTGCCTGTGATGGCTTTTACCTTAATTTTGAACTTAAAAATACATGACTCAAAAATAATGTTGCTAACTTCTTGGGCTGTATTTTCTTCCACTGTATTCACAAAACCATAATTTTGTTTTTACCTGTAACTTACTTTCCTCAGGCGGTTATCAATAGAGTCCACTCTCTGGGCAAATTACTGAACTTGAGAAAAAAAGACAAATTTTTTTTTAAATAAAAAAAAAGATCTCCTCTCCCATTAAAGTCCAATATCTTAAACTATGCAGTACCCTGAGACTCTGTGCCCACCATACTCCCTTTTTTCTTTGCAATTTATTATCTCTCTCTTAAATGATTTCCATCAGCATGCAAATATTCCCTCTTTAAAAAATGAATTTCCTTTAACTTATATATCTTTCATCTGCTGCTGTATTTCTTAGTTCCCTTCAACAGAAAATTTTCTTAAATGTCATCTACTTTTGCTGTGCAGACGCTCTTTAGTTTCATTAGATCCCATTTGTCTATTTTGGCTTGTGTTGCCATTGCTTTTGGTGTTTTAGTCATGAAATCTTTGCCCATGCCTATATCCCGAATGGTACACAAGAAGAGAAAACCAAACACCGCATGTTCTCACTCATAAGTGGGAGTTCAACAATGAGAACACACGGACACAGGGAGGGGAACATCACACACTGGGGCCTGTCGGGGGTTCGGGAGCTAGGGGAAGGATAGCATTAGGAGAAATACCTAATGTAAATGACAAGTTGATGGGTGCAGCCAACCAATATGGTACATGTAACATATTGGCACCTATGTAACAAACCTGCCCGTTGTGCACATATACCCCAGAACTTAAAGTATAATTTTTAAAAAAATCATCTATAGTCACTATTCTTATAATTGCAGATTCTTGCCCTTCCTTTTTACTCTTCCCCAAGCTGTTTTCATTATTTTCCATTGATCAGGCTAGGGTTATGAGTGATCTCTAACAGTTGGGAAATTCACAGCTCATTCTAATAGGCTCACCTTACTAGCTATCTTAATGGAATCCAATACTGCTTACCTTACTTGATCTACTTTGTTAGTTGCAGCAGATTATATTTTCCAAAGATGACTAAACCAACATATCCCAACAAAGTAATATTGAGAGATGGGGGTCTATGTTTCCTCCATTGACTGATGGATTTTTGTTTCCTCTCCTCAGCTTCTTTGGACCTTTTAAGTTGCATTATCCCATAAAATGTGGTGGATTCAATGTTGTATGGCCTGTAAAACTAAGTAATGAAGGCTGATATGTACCCACCTGGCTCTGTCTTGGGATCACACAACTTGGGAGCCAAAACAGGTATGTAAGAAGTACAGCTACCCTAAAGCCACCATTCTGGAGTGATTACATGGAGATACTACCTAGCGATAGAGAGGAGGATTTAGAAACTCCAGCTGGCCCAGCTTCCAAGTGTGAATCTTCACAATACAGGCACCAGGCACTTGAGGGGAAAAGTTTCCATATAATTTCAGCCTTTTGCCTTCAAGTTATCCCAGCTTACACTTAGAGCAGAGTAAAGTAAGACCCCGGATCAAATTGCTGATTCACAGAACAAGATTTATTTTTAAATGACCTAAGTTTTGGAGTGTTTGTACTACACAGTCATAGTAGCTAAAACACTTGTCTTGGCTTCTACAGTAGTAGACATTTTGGATAGTCCCACCTCCACTGGTTGCCTCTTCTTGTTCTTTTCCACTGACTCCTATTTCTGTGCCCAGTCTTCTAATATTAGCATGCTTCAGGATCCTGGGCTACCCATTATGTTCTACATACATTATCTAAATTGTTTTATTTCGTCATTACCCATGGCATTTACATGGGTAATGAAAGTTATCCCCTTCTACTCCACCACCCTGCACTTCTATCCCTGGCATCTCCTCTTGAATCCTTGAATTCTAGGCACGTAAACATAATGGCCTACTTAACATCTCCACTTGAATATTAAATAAAGAATTCAAACTTAACACATACAATGCTGAGCTCTTGATCTCATCTCCTTGTAAAACAGACTTAAAAGTTGTTACTTCCCTAGTCTTCTTCATTTCAGTGAATAGAATTACTATTCACACAATTTCTCAAGTGCAAAATTTAGAAGTAATTTTTGATTACTCTCTTTCTCTCAATGACTGCATCTAATTTATTTCCACTGATTGAACCTCTACAATATATCTCCAATCTTGTCTCCGTTTCTATTTCTTCTCCCCATTCAAGCTGCCAATATCTCTTTCCTAAACTTTAGCAATAGCCTCTGTAGTGATATCCTTAATTTCTGTCTTGATACACATTAATTTATCTTCCACATAGAAACCAGAGTAATCTTTTACTACAAAAATCAGATAACATTACTAATCTAGCTCAAAGCCATCTGATGTTTTTTCTTTTCATTTGAGCAAATTTTATTTTCCAAAGAAGACTTAAAGTCTCCCATCCTACATTTACTTCTGTGAATATAACTTGATATTCCTACCACTGTAGGGTGGGAGTCTATGTCCCCTCCCTTTAAATGTGGATGGCCCTATGATTCCAGCAGAACTGACACTACAGGTAATGAAATTAGATAAAGTCATACCTGATCCCCTTAGGACACTTTCTAACCCAGCCTCCATGCCTGAATAAATTCATGTAAGCTATGGAGAGGCCCATATGGAGAGATCTGGTTCCTCCAGCTTTAGCTAAGTTTTCAGGCCATAACCAGTATTAATTTGCCAGCCAAGAAAGTCAGCCATCTTGACAGGTGGAACAGAGGTGGGCTGTTCCATACTCACCATACTTTGTTAAGTTGCAGAATTATGAACAAAGAAAATTTTTGTTTTTCTTTTAAGTCACTAGATTTTGGGATAGTTTTTTTTTTTAATCCAGTAACAGGTAACTAATATAAATTTTGGTACTGGAAAGTGGAGTGTTGCTGTACAGACACTTAAACATGTAGCATTGGCTTTGAGATAGGCCACAGACGGAAGCCAGAAAAGCTTTGGCAAAGTGTTACCAGAAGCCTAAAGAATGTTGAGAAAGCTGTGTCTGACAGCTCAAGGAAAGTAGGAAAATGTGATTGGAAGATGTTTAGTAGCAGTGGAAACTTTGACAACACTATTACCTGAAGTAACAGGCAAGATGGGAAATATAGCAATGAACATGATGATCAAACTAAGGAAATTTTCAAGCAGAAAATTGGAAGTGTCACTGGGATTCTTTTCACTGCCTATGATAAAATGTCAGAGGGAGAGGAATGAGCTAAAAATTAAGTCTTAAGTATAAAATATTCAGAACTTTCTTAGCTGGAAAATAAATCAGTTTCTCTTTCTTACTCTTTCTAGATTGCAAATGATGTTCAAATCAAGGACTGGCTTAAGGGAGAAAATCAATTATACTGTACAACTCACACTTAAGACCTCAGAGAGATCTAAGATGATTCTTTATATAATTTTTAAAACAATCACCCCTCTAAGGAGCATAACAATGTGTTTTAAATGTCCTCCCCATTATACAGTGAGACTTATAAGAATCTCAAGGATGGTGTCCCAAGGCAAACTCATGGCAAGATCAAGAAAGAGAATGGCCTGTCTTGACAAGATTTGTGGTTTTGGCTTTCGTCTGATGGAATGAATTGTACACAAATACACAGAAATCCCACAAATATTAAAATAATTGTATCAACTTGTAAGAAAAAGGGAAAGAAATAGCTTAAAATGGAATATTGCTAAGCCCTCAAACCTTTACAAGCAGGAAATAGGTGTAAACAGGCTTAGGAAAATGGAAGGTGGACTCAGGGCAGATTGAGGAGATCTTGGAGTGCAGCAAAGAGCCATAGAGAGCAATTTCCAGGGAGTAGGACTGAACTCTAACCAAATAATTGGCAGCATGTGCCTGGCATTTCAGGATTGACATGGACCGGTGACTACTGTGTTCCTTCCCATTCCCCACCCTTTTGTGTAGGATTGTCTGTAGCAGTTTCCCAATGCCTGTTCCTCCACTTGACGTTGGGTATTTGGAGAACAAGAAAAATTCTCTTTTTAGGTCAGATGTGTGACATGTATCACATTGTAAAAAAGAGTGCTCAATGAGCTGTATTTCAGGAATTGCACTTAAGGGGAATTATTTTTACCTATATTGGATTAATATGATAAGATTTTGAACTTTGAGCTTATGTAATTATGAAGTGAGACCTTTAGTCTTGGGGAATGACTGTATTTTATATGCGAGAGGTATATAAATCACTGTGGCCTGAAGATAGACTGTGGCAGATTGTATTTTTCAAAGATTTCCTGTCACACTTTTTTTTTATTCTTTATTTTTCTCTTTCTTTCTCTTTCCTCTTTCTCTTTCCCTTCCTCCCTTCCTTCCTTCTTTCCTTCCTTCCTTCCTTCCTTCCTTCCTTCCTTCCTTCCTTCCTTCCTTCTTTTCTTTCTTTCTTTCTGAGAGGGTCTCACTCTGTTTCCTGGCTAGAGTGGTGTCACATTCATAGCTCACTGTAGCTCAAACTCCTGAGTGCAAACAATCCTCCTACATCAGCCTCCCAAGTAGCTTGGACCACAGGTGTGCATCCACTCCTGGCTAATTTTTTAATTTTAATTTTTGTAGAGACGGGGTCTCACTTTGTTGCTCAGACTGATCTTGAATTCCTGGCTTCAAGAGATCCTGCTGCCTCAACCTCTAAACTTGCTGGGATTGCAGGTGTGAACCACCATGCCCAGCTACTTTCTTTTTCTTACAATATGCCTTTGATGCTCTTCCCATCAAGAGGTATTCCTTTCCCTTGAATATGGGCAAGGCTGTGATTATTAATGCTATATGACTTTTGAGAGTAGGTCATGAAGCATGATACATTTTCCTAGTTCATTTAGGATGCTTGCTCTTAATACCTAGCCCCTATGCTTGTATAAGTCCAAGAGACCTGTTGTGGGGAGGCTCACATGAAGAAGAACGCAGGCACCTAGCCTACAGTCTGATTGAGCTCTCATCTGATAACCCATAAGAACTTGAGAGCCTTGTGAGTAAACCATCTTGAATCTTTCAGGACCCAGTTGAAACACTTCAGCTGATGCTGCATGGATCATTGCGGATTTGTGAGCAAAATAAATTAATATAGCTTTTTGTTTTAATTAAACAATATTTTTTGAGACAAGATCTCATTTTGTCACCCAGGTGGGAGTACAGTGGCACATTCACAGATCACTGTAGCCTCAAATTCCTAAGCACAGGAGGTCCTCCCACCTCAGCCTCCCCAGTAGCTGAGACCACAGCATGTGCCACTGTGTCTGGCTAATTTTTTATTTTTTTGTAGAAACGGAGTCTTGCTATGTTGCCCAGGCTGGCCTCATGTGATCCACTTGCCTCAGTCTTCCAAATTGTTGGGATTACAAGTGTGAGGCACTGCACTGAGCCCAATATTCCTTTTTAAGCTACTAAGTTTTGGACTGATTTGCTTCCCAGCAGTATACGATTGATAAAACACAGAATATAGAATAAAATTAATCTCTTATGTTGTCCTATGAGGCTTTGTGAGATTTAGTTTCTACCAACACCCCAAAGTCATGTCATACCATTTTTCACTGTGCTTACTTTGCTTCACTGACTTTTCTCCTGTTTTCTAAAACTAGCTAGTTCTTATCTTCAGGCTTTGTCATTGTCATTCCCTGCTGAGAATATTGTCTGTCCAAATCTTGTAATTCAGACTCAAAAATAGTCTGTGGCCACTCAATCTAAAGTAACCCACCACAAACTCTAGCCCATCTCCCTATTTATTTTCATCATGATATTTATATCTATCTCATCTAAATTTTATCTATTTGTCATCTATCTAATTGAAATTTCATGTTTCTTTACTACTAATACGCAAGCTCTGTTAAGACAGAAGTATTTAGTTTAATTAGATCCCATTTGTCAATTTTGGTTTTTGTTGCCATTGCTCTTGGTGTTTTAGACATGAAGTCTTTGCCCATGCCTATGTTCTGAATGGTATTGCCTAGGTTTTTGTCTAGGATTTTTATGGTTTTAGGTCTAACATTTAAGTCTTTAATCCATCTTGAATTAATTTTTGTATAAGGCGTAAGGAAGGGATCCAGTTTCAGCTTTCTACATATGGCTAGTCAGTTTTCCCAGCACTATTTCTTAAACAGGGAATCCTTTCCCCGTTTCTTGTTTTTGTCAGGTTTGTCAAAGATCAGATAGTTGTAGATATGTGGCATTATTTCTGAGGGCTCTGTTCTATTCCATTGGCCTATATCTCTGTTATAGGGACACTTTTACACTGTTGGTGGGACTGTAAACTAGTTCAACCACTGTAGAAGTCAGTGTGGCGATTCCTCAGGGATCTAGAACTAGAAATACCATTTGACCCAGCCATCTCATTACTGGGTACATACCCAAAGGATTATAAACCATGTTGCTATAAAGACACATGCACACGTATGTTTATTGTGGCACTATTCATAATAGCAAAGACTTGGAACCAACCCAAATGTCCAACAATGATAGACTGGATTAAGAAAATGTGGCACATATACACCATGGAATACTATGCAGCCATAAAAAATGATGAGTTCATGTCCTTTGTAGAGACATGGATGAA
Organism: Homo sapiens; assembly: GCF_000001405.40. Classification (NCBI taxonomy): domain Eukaryota; kingdom Metazoa; phylum Chordata; class Mammalia; order Primates; family Hominidae; genus Homo; species Homo sapiens. The sequence continues at coordinate 165,516,921 of NC_000003.12, forward strand.
GCTGGAAACCATCATTCTCAGCAAACTATTGCAAGGACAAAAAACTGAACACCACATGTTCTCACTTGTAGGTAGGAATTGAACAATGAGAACACATGGACACAGGAAGGAGAACATCACACACCGGGGCCTGTTGTGAGGTGGGGGGAGCGGGGAGGGATAGCATTTGGAGATATACCTAATGTAAATGACGAGTTAATGGGTGCAGCACCCCAACATGGCACATGTATACATATGTAACAAACCTGCACGTTGTGCACATGTACCCTAGAACTTAAAGTATAATAAAAAAAAAAGAAAAAAAAGAAAGACAGAAGTATTGTTCATCTTGTTTTCTTCCCTAATCACGTTACCTAGAACAGTGCCTATCAGATAGTAGGCACTCCACAAATATTTGTTGACTTAATGAACCAGTGGAAATAAATATTAATTCAGTTTTACATTACACAGCAAAATAGAAATCCAATATTTAATCCAGTTCATATTACAAAATAATACCTTCTTTTTAAAAATTAAATCCATTAAATTGACATAGAAAAATCTTCACCATCTCATGACTTTATAAAAACAAAATTGGTTTCTATACCACTTGGATTATTTCTACAAATTCTATTTATATGGTTTGTGTCAATAAACCATAGAAAATAAAATTTTCAAATAAAACTTATATATTTGTTATTTGATCTTGTTCTACTTATATGAATCTTTTATTTCATGCAAATAAAACCCAAAATATGATTCAGCAACTTTCAGTCTGTTTTTAGAGGCAGAGTCTTGATATTTCACCCAGGCTGGAGTGCAGTGTCACAATCATGGCTCACTTCAGGCTCAACCTCCTAGGCCCAAAAGATTTATTCACCTCAACCTCCTGAGTAGCTGGGATTACAGGTGTGCACCACCATGCCTGGATAAGTTTTATAGTTTTTGTAGACACAAGGTCTCGCTATACTGCCCAGGCTGGTCTGGAACTCCTGGACTCAACTAATCCTTCCACCTCAGCCTCCCAAAGTATTGGAATTACAGGTGTAATCCACCATGCTTGGCCAATTTTCATTCTTTAATGTTAGGCTTTGAGTTTAGTATCAAACTTTAAAACAAAAGCAACAACAACAAAAAACAAAAAACATTTCCAAAAAAGAAAAAAAGTACTGGTAGCAGTCAATAAAAGAAAAGACTCCAATTTCCAGGAATTTGGAATGTGGAATCCTGGCATTATAGAGATACAGCTTTTTCATCTAATTAATGTATAAAATAGTCAATACTTTCATTTTATTTTCTTGGAGTTTACTCCTTTTCACCCTGAAGCCTGGGTAACAAAGCAAGTGCACAAAAATCGTTAGAATAACACTTTTCAACAAGAAGCAGTCCCAAAGTAAGTGAAAGGAATTTCTTTAGTGATTTTCTCCCTGAGGGGGAGCAGTAGTCTGAAATCTCACTGGTATCTATTCTGAAAGAATCAGGGGATTTATTTATGTCATAATCTAGTATTTGCAGCCTGCTTTGATTTTCCTCGGGATTTCCTTGGATATATTTTACTGAGAGAAGTGTGAAAAGTACTTCTGATTTGAGAAGCATGAAAAGAAAGCCTCAGGCCAGGAGACCATCTTCTACTCTGAGTCATCCATTTGCCTGTTCTGAACAACCTCTACTATTGGCTCTTGCACAAAGATCTCCTGAGAGTAGTTGTTGGTAGACTCTAATTGCCTACTATTTTTAACTCATTCCCTTACTCCTTTGATAAGAGTTGAGAGCCCAAGACTTTAATGGATTTTGCACGTATGTCTTATTCTATTTACCTAATCATAATGCAATTTCACTTCAGCACAAACACAGCCATAGCAATCATGACTTAATTTTAATTCCTAACTCACTGTAAGTAAGCCAGCTTATGCTTTTACTAACCAATTTCCAATGCATATAAATAATAACACATATTTGGCATATCACAGTGCTTAGCTCTTTCTGATGAGCAAAAGATTATATATTTATTGGTGCTTATCTTGATGTTTCACAAGATTTTTCATTTATTTCTATACTGTTCCCTTAGGTTACTAGGTGCAGTCACTTTCCCTACCACCTGCTTTCCACTATCTGCTCCTTATCTTTTTCTTTAGAACCTTGCTTCACCTTCTTCCTCTATTTGTGACCGCTCTGCAGGTGATCAGGCTTCCTCCACTTTCCTTACCTTCTGATTGTCTCATACCATCTTCCATCATTTTCCACACATATTACTTGCTTTATACCATACTGTATTTGTAAAACACATAAAAGATTGCTAGTATTTTTATTTTATAGATGATGAAACTGAAGTATGAAAGATAAATGACTCACCAGAGGCTATGATTTGTGGGCCTTTTAGTGGGTTTAATAGGAGGAAAGCAAAGGTGAAATGCCAGAATAGCGAAGGTGGAGAAATTTGAGATGAGTGATAGAGACCTAAGAAAGTGGCAGTTAAAATGGTCCAGGGCATAAAATGATGTGAGGAATAGTAGAAAGAAAAGGAGAAAAATACCTTAAAATTGATGACTCTTCTGTCCTAATAACTTCAAAGTGCATTTCAATTTGAAACCTTTATCACCTCATTGCGTGGAGGAGACAAAGGAAAGAAAACATACAGAGCATTTGTCTCTTCCTGAAGTTTCCTCAATTCATAAAATCCCTAAGACACTAAGAGAAGAAAATACTGTGAACATGTTTAGTTTGATATTGGTTATTGTCATTTCTTTTCATTCCTTCAAATACATTTTATAAATTCAATTTCACATATTATTTAACCTCATCTACCTGACATGATATTGTTCTCCTGACACATCCTGTTTATTAAATATTAATCACATATTTTACTGGTTCCAAATTATGCTTTTATTATACTTGCTTATTTGCAGGCGGGGGCTGGGGAAAGGGGGAGTGACTTTCAATAGAATCGGGATCTCTAGTATGATCACCCGCATGATGACATCATCAACAGTAGACTTAAGAATCCTGTTGGCTCCACTTGCTCTAAATTTATCAGTTTCCTCTGGTTCTCTCTATCAGCCTTAAGGTTGGGTTCCTGTTCAATACTTTCTTTCTTTTTTTTTTTTTTCTTACTTGTAGGGCCAATGTGTAGAGCTGCCGACTTTCTTAATAATGCAAATCCAAGGGGTGCCCCTAGCATTCTGAAATACGCAAACTTCAAAAACATATCTAATAACCCTGCATCAGCTCCATATAACAGTTTTAATTAGGGCCCTTAGCAGGGCATACACTAATTACTGCAAAGAGCAAACAAAACTAAAATGAGTAATAAACAGAAAATTTATTTGATGAGTATCTACAATGGGGCAGGTTCAAGGTGTGTTATAAATGTTGTGAACTCAAAAGTGGATAGTAAAGAGCCAGCCCCACTCTCATGGAGCTTACATTTTAGTATGGGTAGGGGCCAATAATAATCAAATCAAACCAAATCAAACAAGATGTTGAAAAGTAATAAATGCTATGAAGAAAAATAAAATAGTATAATATCATAGAATAGAGAGACATGGACGCTGTTTTAGGGAAAAAATGTTACGGGTATATAAGCAGAAAAGCAGATACTCTGATAAGAGGATATATGAACTGAAATCTGAATGAAGCGAATTAAGTGAGCCTGCCATGTAAGAAGTAGGATTTTGGGACAGGGGAATAGCAAGTGCAAATATCCTGAGACAACAGTGTGCTGAGAGTGCTTAAGAAATAGCAAGGGGGCTCTGTGGCAGGGGTGAAGTGGGCAACAAGTAGAATGATAAGAAATGATGACACAGAGGAAGCCAGAGATAAGACCGAGTTCTGACATTCTTATAAGCCATAATAAGAATTTTATTCAATGTATGATAGGAAATCATTGAAAGATTTTAAGCAAGAGTAACACTATCTGATTTGCCATTTAGAAGTCATTAAGAGGTCAAGAAATTCTATAATTGCTGGTATGTTCAGAATAGACTGAGTGATACAATAGAGGAAGCAATGAGGCAAGTTAGGAGGCTACAGAAGTTGTCCAGGTTAGAAATGATGGTGTGACTTCAATGGTAGTGGAGGTAGGGAGAAGGGTGCAATAAGAACATATGCTTAAGGTAGCTCTTGTTACCTTTACTCTGACTGCTATTCACTGAGGGATTAGTTATGAGGTAGGAGAGAAAGAGGGATGAAATGTGATTGTAAGGTTCTAACCCTGAGCAACTAGATGAATGGTGATACCATTTTCTATGATGGGTAACATTGAAAGACGAAAGTTTGAAAGCAGATGATAATAGGAATCAATATATTATGCCTGGAGATGTTGAGTTGAGTTTGAGGTGCTTACAAGACAATTTAATTAGAGATAATTGTGGTTTGTAACAGGGAAAGAGGTACTTTTGCAATGTGCATGTGGTCACTTATCTGCTGACTCAACTTGCTGGTGTGAGGAAGCAGCTAACTCTCAGAAATTTAGGTAGTGTGAAAGAGAAGGCAAGTATCTAGTAGTAGAGACTATTTTCACTGTTTGAATTATTATGGATAGACTGACAGTGGGAATATTATTAAAATATGTGACAAGGAATTCCAGTCATAATTAAAGTAAATATTTTGCCAGAAATGATAACAAATACCTTTGCACAGAGTTCCCATTGGTCCCGAAACCTGAAGGTGCTGGCAGTGCCTTTAAGAGGCTATAGAATATGATCTGCTGTAGTTTTGCTGAGCTTGTTAAAAATAACCCTTGGCCAGACACATGCCATCCTTCAGAATTAAGTAGATCCCTCAGCACCTGCTTCCTGTACCCTGTCTTCTGTTACCATGTGCTTTCTCAGATACTAATGGGTTCTTGGCTTTTGCTTCTAGGTATAATTGTGATCTCTTCCCAGGAAAAAGGTAATGATCCTGGAACAAGATATATATGCCTGGTATATATTTATTATCTTACAATTGAGCTTTCATTACCAATAAGAGTTCTCTTACCTTGAGTCCTCACCCTGTGCTAAGCTCTTGCAAAACACATCCCAGATTTTATCTCATTTAATCCTGGCAACAGTGGTACAAGGCAAAACCTGGTATTATTCTCATTTTTTATTTAGAGAAATATAATTGTAAAGAAATTAAGTAAATTGTGCAAGGCCTCACAGTAAGTTGTAGGACAATAAAGACGCAACAGGTGCCATCTACCTCTAATGGCTGACCACTTACTATATTAAATTGTTCTTGTGAGCATGGGAGAATCTTGGGGAAACTATTATACAGACTGCTGGAGGTATGTGACTGGTTACTTTGAAATTGAACTCTAATGTGGTCCCAAGAATTTTTGAAATCTTGAAAGAGAGTAGAACTTCCAGTAACCCTTCAGATGTTTCAGAGAAAATATCAGGTTTCTGTTTTAAAATAGAGGTAATAAACACATTTTTAAGACAGGCTCTTTTATTCTAGAAAAATCTCTTGAGATATATAACTAAACAAATAAAAGACAGACTCCGATATCAGAAAAGCAATTACAGACCCTTCATTATAAGAAGTAAAAATTGCTCTATACAATAGTAGAAAATATGGTCACTGTGGTACATCTCTGCAGCCTGACATCTGATTTTTGTTGCTGTTAATAGAATGAGACTTGGCTGTTCTAAAAAACTACAGCTTGTCCTGTGGAGAACTGTGATTACTTCTGATGGAAAATGACAGGCTGAATGCCAGAAGGCAAAGCAACTGTTTTCCTAAGAGTCTTAAGACCCTGAAGGACTTGTGCCTCCTTTGGTGATCTAGGGGATAAAGAAGTGGAATGGAAATGGAGAGGAATAGCTGGAACAAAAAGGCAAAGAGGTATAATCTATCATAAATATGCCGCCTTTATAAGCATGTGTGTACCAAAAAAAAGCCACAAACCATATAAAGTGAGCCTATATTAGAAATAGAAGTATTTTATGAAATAATATATTTAAAATTTCCAGTAAACAGAATATAAATTTTTCCCAAATACCCATAATATATTTACAATATTAGAAAAAAATGCAAGCAGAATTTATGTAAATTATATTAATGGAATTAACGGAATAAAATTAGAAGTTAAAATTAAAAATAGCCAAAATTAATATTTGAAAATAAAAATATTTTGTTATTTGTGTTAAAGGGGAAATCAAAACTAAAATTAGATATTATTTAAAAATGAATCTTACTATATATCAAATCACATAATATCAAAATCATACTCTAAAGAAATTTTGTAGCCACAGATGTATATTTTTAGTCTGATAAATGAAATCTGCATTCACCTCAAGAAGCTAGCGAAACAACAAAACATTAAGAACTAAAATCAACATAATTTCTGGTCACTTTGTTAAATAAAATTGAAACCAGAATATTTCCTTGTACCTCTATTAAGTTAATACCAAGAACAAGCAAAAATAAAGCAATTACTTGTTCTAGAAAATATTTTCTCTTTGGAAATAAGACGAATAACCAGCTAAAATAGGTTTTTAATCAAAACTAACAAAAGTGTTGATCAATACTCATTTCAAGATCCTGGCTTCATGGTGCCCATCAATCCAAAACTACTTCCTAGACCCTGTTGAATCTCAACCAACTTCCCCCCTGTCAAGACTAGCTTTAAAATCACTCATGAAGGTATGAGATTCTAATAAACATCTCCCTTTCCCTCTGACTTCTCCTTCTTGAGACACTACACTTGTACTCTATTAAGGTGATAGTTTTTCTTCCTGCAATAGGTCACATAAACTTAGCTGTCTTCATCAATATTTCTGAAGGTATTTTGTGAAGTTAACAGCAATGGAAGAGAAATAAATCATAAATATTTGAAAACCAGTTATTTTAATAAAAAAAGAAGTGTCTTTTT